>NC_000023.11:91250420-91553451 GCF_000001405.40 Homo sapiens
TTGGCCTCCCAAAGTGCTGGGATTACAGGCGTGAGCCACTGCGCCCGGCCCCCTCTGATTCTTTACAGATTGTTATGGAAGACTTTTACTAATCAGTGGGCCTCTGAATATTGAAATCAGCCTGAGGTGAAGGCTTGAGTCTTCTTTTCCTAGGTATGCATCATTTCTGGGCCTGTCTAGGTACTCTTTTCTGTTTTCCCCCTGGATAGTTTTAAAAGCCTTAAATTTTAAAATATTCTCACCCAAGATTTTGTGGGGAACTTAGGTGTTCTATTGCATATATTTGTCTGTAATCTCTTGATCCCAGACATCTACAGGTCTGAAGTTCCCCTGTGGTTTTCATGCACCACAGCAGTAACCACTGCCTTCTGTGACTTTCATCTTTAGACATTAATCAAATGTGCCATCAATTCCATTTGAACTTTAAGTTTAATAAGATAGACCAGTCACTCTGGCAGCCCACAGATAGACTAAAACATTGACAACTATTTCCATTCTGTTATTTCCGTCACAAGGGAGGGAACCAGGAAATAAGCCGCTTCTTCCTGACCTTGCTGCACTATGCTGGAGAGGGCTTGTGGCAAGAGTGAGTAAAAGTGTTATAAAATTTTCTACCGTTTTGAATGTGTCTTGATTGAGCATTGGCTTGGTTGTTATAGATACTAGATTGTGTTCCAGAGCTCCCATGAAGTTATTTTAGCTAATATGTATGTGTTTGTTTGTTTGTTTGGTGTTTTGATGGAAAAACAAGGTCCTGGAGCTTCCTAGTCCACCATCTTAGTAATGTCACTCTCTAAACTGTTTTGTTGTGCCTAAAATATGCTGTTATGGTCATCTATTACCATTTTTAAATATTTTCTCATATTTATAATTTACATTTTTTACTTTTTCAAATCTGTTACATCATTTTTATGATTTACACTTCTTTGCAGATATTTTCATGCTTGTCATATATTTCCTAAATATTGTAAACATAGTTATTTTAAAATTTGAATCAGATAAGTCAACGAAATGAAGTCTTTGTGGACATGTTTCTATTGTTTTATTTTTCTGATACCTCATACATAGCATTTTGTTTTGTATTCTTTTCTTTTATGTCAATTAGTTTTTGACAGAGAGCTGCTAAAACTCCTTAAAAATAATTGTTGGGATTATTTGAAAGATAGAAAAAAGGTGGAATTATCTGGATAGGACTTGCATTTACTTCTGCAAGATGTGTTTGGGCACCACCAGTATGGGGGTACTCTGCCTTAATGAAAGGTTTGAGTTTTTATGGCTTATCTTGGCAGTATGAACTTGAGGTTAAAATACTTCAAGAAATAGTTTGTGTTTATGATTATGTTTCATTGCCGTTTATTTCAATCTTGCATTGCTCAGTACCAAAGAAACTTTAGCTGTATGTTTCTAGTAGGTATGTTAATATAACAGAGTTTGTTTCTGGTTGAAAACTGTGTTGATGGCATAGGTATTTGGCTTTCCAGCTTTGTGAGGAAGGTGTCTTCTGATTCACATCTCATCTTGGGTATGCCTTGGCTTTTGCTTGCAGTGTTCTCAAATCACTCAAGATCATAAAAATACATACTAAATGATGCCAGCTTTGGAAAACAATATTGGAACAAAAATAGCTCGGTAGTTTTCTTACCATTTTAATGGCTTCATTCACCTGATAATTCTTTTCTGTCTTGTTTATTCTTCCATGTATTTAAATTTTTTAAAATATTTCATCCAACATCTTTAAATACTTTCAGTAACAGTGTTAATATGGATACATAGCTAGTTGTATTACCAGAAATAGGCTTTAATTTAAACAGACTTTAATTTAAACAGACTTTAATTTAAACAGGGTTTAATTTAAACAAGCTCTGGTATCAAATCAGGAGTTGGTAAGATAGGATTAAAAAAACACTTAAACATTTTCTACCAAGGGGAGTTTTTCCAATAAGACTCAAAGTGTGTTCTACGAATCATTGCATCTCAATCACCCAAGTTGATTTTCAAAATGAAAATTCCTGGGTCCAACCCAATAAATACCGAGTAAATAATATCGAGGTATGGATCCCAGGAATCTATATTTTTGTCAACCACCATAAGTAATTCATAGGGGACAAAAATGTAAGGCCCATCATTTACAGCTAAAATTTAAATGAATTACTTTCTCTTTTAATATTTTCATTGAAACAAAATACAAGACAGAACCAATCCTTGATGAGAACAGTATTTCATATGTCTAAATCATGGTTCTGGACTTGACAAGAAAGAAAAATAGGTATAGAATTGCCACTTTAATGAAAAGTTAATTTCCACATAATTAGAGGAGTATAATTCATTACTGAGGTATGAATTAATAAAACTAGTAAGTGATATTATATATTCAAAGACACCAGATATTTTTATTATTCAATGATATTTTTAATAAGGGGTTGAATTTAGACAGTAGACAAATTTCTAACCACATAGCAGAGCATTGTGGAGAAATTCACTTGGCATGCCAAAGAATAAATATCTTTCACCTTTGTGAAGAGCCTGTAAGAAATTCTGACAAGGCAAACCTCAGGATGCAGTCTTTCTCCCTGCAAATAAATGGCTGCAGCTGTGCTGTCCATCCATGTGCCTTTTACCTGCTGAGTCTCTGTGTCTGATATTGCACTGGCCATTTTAAAGGCAGCTTTTCTATAAACTGAGTGTAAGTTATATTTCAGAGGACTTTACATTTCTCTTTCTGGTTACTAAAAGTTAAATTACTATTTCAAATCAAAATTCTTATTTTAGATGGTGGTAGGCAAAAGGAATATGCATGAAAGGAAACATCTTTTATAGGGAGTTGAAAATGAATAATAAGAGATAGCTTTAATCAGATGGGAGTCTATGGATTTAGACTCTTTAAAATCATTACTTTTCCACAAATGATTTTAAAGTTTTGACTTATCAATTATGGTTCTTCATGTCATAAAACTAATATCAATTTGAATCAGAGAAACATGATTGACTTGGTAACTTCTTTTTTTTTTTTTTTAAAGTTGGGCCTTTAGTTTCTGAGTCTTTTTTTTTTTCCTATTCTGGCATGAACTTTAAAATTTTTTTTTCTTATTTCCAAAGGTTTTTGGGAAACAGGTAGTAGTTGGTTACATCAGTAAGTTGTGGTGATTTGTGAGATTTTGGTGCACCCATCACCTGAGCAGTATACACTGTAGCCAATTTATAGTCTTTTATCACTCATCCCCCTCCCCTACTTTCCCCCAAGTCCTCAAAGTCCACTGTATCATTCTTATGCCTTTGCATCCTCATAGCTTAACTCTCACTTTTGAGTGAGAACATATGATGTTTCGTTTTCCATTCCTGAGTTACTTCACTTAGAATAGTGGTCTCCAATTCCATCCAGGTTGCTGTGAATGCCGTCACTTCATTCCTTTTAAATGGCTGAATAGCATTCCATTATATATATGTATATCACAATTTCTTTATCCACTCATTGATTGATGGACATTTGGGCTGGTTACATATTTTGGCAATTGTGAATCGTGCTGCTATAAACATGCCTGTGCAAGTATCTGTTTTGTATAATGACTTCTTTTACTCTGGTTAGATGCTGAGTAGTGGGATTGCTGGATCAAGTGGTAGTTCTACTTTCAGCTCTTTAAGGAATCTCCACACTGTTTTTTAATAGTGTTTGTACTAGTTTACATTTCCACCAGCAGTGTAAAAGTATTCCTTTTTCATTGCATCCCCAACAACATCCATTATTTTTTTATTATGGCCATTCTTGCAGGAGCAAGGTGGTTTTGCGCATTGTGGTTTTGATTTGCATTTACCTCATCATTAGTGATGCTGAACATTTTTTCATATGTTTGTTGGCCATTTATATATCTTCTTTTGAGAATTGTCCATTCATAATTTTTGATGGGATTGTTTGTTTTTTCCTTGCTAATTTGTTTGAGTTCTTTAAAAATTTTTTTTTTAAATTATACTTTATGTTCTGGGATACATGTGCAAAATGTGCAGGTTTGTTACATAGGTACACACGTGCCATGGTGGTTTGCTGCACCCATCAACCCATCATCTACATTAGGTATTTCTCCTAATACTATCCCTCCCCTAGCCCCTCAACCCCTCAACAGGCCCCAGTGTGTGATGTTCCCCTCCCTGTGTACATGTGTTCTCATTGTTCAACTTCCACTTATGAGTGAGAACATGCAGTGTTTGGTTTTCTGTTCTTGTGTCAGTTTGCTGAGAATGATGGTTTCCAGCTTCATCCATGTCCCTACAAAGGACATGAACTCATCCTTTTTTATGGCTGCATAGTATTCCATGGTGTATATGTGCCACATTTTCTTTATCCTGTCTATCATTGTTTGAGTTATTTGTAGATTCTGGATATTAGTCCTTTGTTGGATGTATAGATTGTGAAGATTTTCTTCCACTCTGTGAGTTGTCTGTTTACTCTTCTGATTGTTTCTTTTGCCATTCAGAAACTTCTTAGTTTAATTAAGTCCCACCTATTTTTCATTGTTTTTGTTGCATTTGCTTTGGGGTTCTTGGTAATGAATTCTTTGCCTAAGCCAATGTCTAGAAGGGTTTTTTGATGTTGTCTTCTAGAATCTTTATGGTTTCAGGTCTTAGAATGAAGTCCTTGATCCATCTTGAGTTGATTTTTGTATAAGGTGAGAGATAAGGATCAAGTTTCATTCTTCTATATGTGGCTTTCATGTGATTCCAGCACCATTTGTTGAACAGAGTATTATCTCCCCACCTTATTTTTTTGTTTGCTTTGTTGAAGATCAGTTGGCTGTAAGTATTTGGCTTTATTTTTGGGTTCTCTATTCTGTTCCTTTGGTCTCTGTGCCTATTTTTATACCAGTATCATGCCGTTTTGGTGACTGTGGCATAGTTTGAAGTCAGATAACTTGATGCCTCCAGATGTGTTCTTTTTGCTTAGTCTTGCTTTGACCCTGCAGGCTCTTTTGTTCCACATAAATTTTAGGATTGTCTTTTCTAGTTCTGTGGAAAATGACGGTGGTATTTTTATGGGGATTGCACTGAATTTGTAGACTGCTTTTGGCAGTATGGTCATTTTCACAATATTGATTCTACCCATCCATAAGCATGGGATGTGTTTCTTTAACTTGATAACTTCTATCATCCACAAGTGGGAAAGATAGCAGTAGTTAGAAATTGTGTTTAAAGAAAATGGGGGGCCTCTGCAAATTGAATATTAGCATTCTTCAAGCCTGTAATTTTAGACATTTGGGTAAATCTGATCAGACTCTTGATATAGATAGATAGATGAAATAAATATTGATAAAGATATACAGATAAGTAGATACATATTGATACTTTATTGTAACTTTTATAATGCTGAGGACCAGGATGTGCTATGTGGCAGGCACACACCAAGGTGACTCCCTAATAAGTCACACCATTATGTAAGCCCCTCCCTTGAGTGTAGGTGGAGTCCGTGACTTGTTTCTAGTAGTAGAATATGGCAAAAGTGATGGGTGGTCACTCCCTTGATTAGGTTACATTGTATGAGATTCCATTTTACCAGATTAAAGTGAAAGACTCTCTTCCTGGTTTTAAAATGTAAGCTGCCAAATTGGGATAGGGCCAATTGGCAAAGACATTTGTATGGTCTCCATGAACTGGCTAACGGCCAGAAAGGCAATGGGAACTTTAGTCTTATAACCAAAAAGAACATCCAGATGAGCTTGGAAGAGGGCCCCAAACTCTAAAAAGGAATGTAAACCAACTAATACCTTGATTGCAATCTTGTTAGACCCTGTACCAAGGACTCAGGGCCTGCTGAGACTCCTGAACCATGAAAACTGTAAGAAAATAAATGGGTAATGTTTTATTCTCTTTCTGACTGTGGAAGTCAGATAGTCAGCTAGTCTGGCTTACAGCAGCAATATTTAAGACTAATGAAATATATTACAGCATAGTTATAAAGCACATTGCAAGTAAAGAGCTCTAGTTATTTTGTAGGAATTTGGAAACAATAGTTACATTTTGATATGTCCCTAAGCCTAGTAGTCATTACATTAATCAGTTTTGCATCACCAGATTCAATTCACTTATCTTCACAATCTAGGTTAATAAATATACACAAAAACGTATACACAATTATATTTTAGTGTTATTAATAACATTTTCTAGAAGTCTGTGACAATAAATGGAATGGAAATAAGGCAAAACTCTATGATTGAGGTCAACTACTCTAGACACTGTGATATATTTACCAGCATGGTAATGTCTATCACATTGAAAAATGCTGACAGAAATCACATCCAACTTAATATACTGTATAAGTTATCAAAGCCATATGACCCATGAAAACAAGATACATGTGGTACTTCAAATTGATTGTTTACTAACTATGTTAGAATTCAAAATATCAGTATGTAGATATTTGTGTTACTATAACTGGGCACAGTCTTCAGTTATTTGCTAAAACACAGGATTATATTACAATTTTCCGTAAAGGAAATTATCCCTTTTACACAACATCGTTAATGATGGGACAAACTGAAAACTTGTCTCACTACCATTGCTATTTTACAAAGGGTACAGGACAATTTAACTTCAGTGAGGATATGAGTGCACTTGAAGGTTTAAGAAAAATTCACACTGACCTTCCTTTAATTGAATTTTACCTTTGAAATTTTAAACCCCTCCCACAGCTAAATTTCAAACAAAACTTTTTAAAGTAAAAAAAAAAATTAAAAAAAATAAGATTAGCTAGTATTTAAGTGATGCCTGAAATCAATTTTATAGAGTGCATCAACAATTTTTAACATTAACTTTCATTTTACAGGAATCTATTTATCACCATAATGTTTCTGTACTATAATAGAGAATAAGAGTATGGTCTAAAATTTATCAGTAGACATTGAATAAATGTCCATTGATTTCATAAGTGGAAACATTTTAAAACTTTGAAATTCTTGAAATTAAAAAAGTAAATTGGATTAGAATTAGAAATTTTGAATTATAATTTTTTGAAACAAATTGTTCACCTCTGTGATAGTTAATTTTATATGTCAACTTGACTAGACCAAAATATTCATGTATTTGGTCAAACACTAGTCTAGATGTAGCTGTGAAGGTATTTATTTAGATGAGATTAACACTTAAAACAGTAGACTTTTAGTAAGGTAGATTATCTTCCATAATGTGGGTGGGCCTCACTCAATCAGTTGAAGGCCTTAAGGTAAAAAGACTGTGATCCCCTTAGAAAAAAATAATTTTGCCTCCAGACTGCCTTTAGACTCAAGTCACAACATCCCGAACTCTTCCCTAGGTCTACAATCTGCTGGCCTGCCTTGCAGATTTCAGAATCAGCCTCCACAATTGTGTGAAATAAATCTGCCTCTCCCACTCTCTCTTTCTCTCTCTCTCTCTTCTACTTTCTCTGTGCGTATATATAGACACACACACACACACACACACACACGCATGCACACACACACACTTTTTGCTTCTGTGGAGAATGCTAGTGCAGATTTGGTACCAAGAGTGGCTCTAGAAAAGCAGAATCATAAGAATGAAATTTCTGAATTGATTCTGGGAATTTGAAATTGGTTTTTTATTTGATTATATTTAAGGGCACTAATAATTATATTTCCAATAGAAAAGATAGCACTTATAGTCCATAAGTATGTAACAGAGACATGATTAGTTATTTACTATATCAAAATGTCTCTTGAAAATTTTAAATACCACCATTGGATACTCCTAATCAAGCACTTGTAAAAGGCAAGCTTTTGGGGTACTAATATATAATATCTTTAAATATTTTTTGTAAAACTAAGAAGTGTATAAGATTGATTAGTTGTTCCTAATTGTGCTACAGAAAGTGAAGAAAGAAAAAGATTAGTTCAGGGACTTGAATTCCCAGCTAAAGTACTGCATAAATGACCTGAAAGTTTCAATGTCTACTCTGAAAGAAATTCTTATTTCCTATAGCCACACAGCTGAGACTGCTCAAAAGAAAACCCAAAATGTAGTACTGCATGCGGTCAAATTACAATGCAAATTGAATTTCTAACATTCATGATGTCTTCTTAAAGTTAGTAAATTTGCTTGTCTGTAAGGTATTTTATTTCTCCTTCACTTATGAAGCTTAGTTTGGCTGGATATGAAACTCTGGGTTGAAAATTCTTATCTTTAAGAATGTTGAATATTGACCCCCACTCTATTCTGGCTTGTAGAGTTTCTGCCGAGAGATTTGGAATGGGGACATATGAAAATTCTAAAGAATCTTTGCCATCAGTAGCCTCTCCACCTCATTTGAGAAGATTTAACCCTGCTTTGACTGAGGAAACTATAATTCCGTCTCATAAGGTACTTACCTTATAAGGCACTGCTGATTTTCCTCAGGACCTACATCCACCACCCATGTTTGCTTCTAAACCTGGAAATACACTCCAGTCCCAGCAGATCCCTAAAGGTGAAGTACAGAGCGTGACCCATGAGGAGGTGTGCAAAATGATTTAGGATGTAACTACAACATGGAAAAAAAATATATCCTACTAATAGTATGTCATAGATTACAGTATTGTACTAATCAAATGTGAATCCCATAATTACATATAGATAGATTTCAATTTGAATTAGAATGAATATATTGAGTTTCTGCTCTGTGCAAGGTATTCCTTCAAAGCATCATTTTATTCCTCTGTGATCTTTTCTAGACACTTTTTCTTTTTTCTACAACTTTTCTACTTAAGTAGTACTATGACCTTTTATTTTAATTACTATCTATATGCTGAAAATTCCCGGAACTCTCCTCTAAGTTTCGATCTATTCATCCATCTTGCTACTTACTATTTCTTTTTTCTTTTTTGTCTCTTCTTCTTTTTTTTTTTTTTTTTTTTTTTTGAGACAGAATCTCACTCTGTCACCCAGGCTGGAGTGCAGTGGTGGCAGGATCTCAGCTCACTGCAACTTCCGCCTCTTGGGTTCAAGCGGTCCTCCAGCCTCAGCTTCCCGAACAGCTGGGACCACAGGCGCGGCCACCACGCACGATTGATTTTTGTATTTTTAGTAGAGATGGAGTTTCACCATGTCACACAGGCTGGTCTTGAACTCCTGACCTCAAGTGATCCGCCCAGCTCAGCATCCCAAAGTGCTGGGATTACAGGTGTGAGCCACTGCGCCTGGTGTTACTTAATATTTCTGCTTGGCTGTTTCACAGGCATACAAATTCATTATATCCAAAACTTAACTCAAGAATTTTAATCCCAAACTCACTTTACTTACAGTTAATGGCATTACTAGCCACTCAGTTGCTAATGCCAGAAAGCTAGGATTCATCCCACACATCTTTGAGCTCTTAATTATCTCTGGAATCTATTCAGTTCTCTCTACTATCTCTAACTGCCATGCAAGTTCTGATGATCATCATTTTGAATCTTGACTACTAAAATAACCTTATCATCAGTCACTTTTTATGTGATTTTTCTGCCTACAATTATCTCTACATAGGTCTTAGTTACACACAAATCAAGTCATTAAATTTTCTTGCTTTTGTAGTCTTTTGCACATGCTATGTACTTTTTCACATCTGAGCATTTTTACAAGGTGTTCCTTAAACGTGGAACAATTTCCCCACTCAATTCCGACTACATTAGCCTAGCTAATGCCTTCTTCCTCCTTCATGTCTCAAATTAAATATCACTTTTTCATGCAAGCCTTTTCTGATATGACACATTTTGATCTCTCTGTAATACACTCCCCAAATACTTCTTTCTAATTCTTAGACACACTTATTCAATGTCTCTCTATTTTTTAGGTTGGTGCAAAAAGTAATTGAGGTTTTTGCCATTATGTTTAATGGCATAAACTGTAATTAATTTTGAAGTAACCTAATAGTTAATAATGTCTAGGAGAATATGGATTGCTTATGTCTTGTTTATTACAACATTGCACCCAGAACAATATGCCAGTTAGTAGGAACTCTATGAATATTTATACAATAAATGAATAGAAGAGTGAATGGATGGATACATGAATGCATGAATGAATGGGACATCTGAAAAATCTTACTGCATCAAATCCTGGTAATATTCAATAAAAGGGTTTCTGTCATTCATGACATAGGTAATGAGGTTACCAATTCATAAGTGTGGCATAGCCAAATAAGAGTTGGAATTTAAAATGAGCACATACTTTCTGTCTTTAATAGCAATCTATGAATCACTTAAGGCTTGGGTATTCACTGGGAATTATTTCACATGTCTCTATTTTAAACATTTGCTATAAAAAATGAAGGAAGTTATTTATCATGGGTTTGGAGAATGAATAATAAAAAGATGTGTATCACATGTAAAAAACTATAGTTGAGGTTCAGTCTAAAGTAATAGTAGAAAATGAAAACACACTTTTGACTGTGGACTATGCTGAAAGCATTTATTTTGTGATTATGAGATATGTTTTGCAGCTTAATCACCCACAGTGTAAAACATTGCTAATTGCTTACCTAATATCTACTTCTTTCTTATCAACAAATGTACTTTTATGTTGACTGAAGCAAACCTTGAGTACTCCATTTATCAGCCTTCTTTGCATCTAGAACAGGCCATATGACAAAATTATGACCAAGTATTTTATATATTTATATATATGTATGTGTGTGTATATATATGTATATTGAATATTTGTGGAATAATTATATGTCAGTCCTTCATCTTTATTATGTTTTTATTCTTCCTAAATGCAATATGAATGATATAACTGGAAGTACAGCTGCCACTTTGCACCCTTGAATAGAGTATATATACACTAAGGATTACTGTGTCATCCATGATTTCCTCCATCAGTGTTTTGTAGTTCTCTGTGTACAGATCTTTCAACTTGGTTAAATATATTTCTAATTATATCATTTTTATGTGGCTATCGTAAATGGGATTGAGTTCTTGAATATGTTATTACTTTGAACAATATTAGTATATAACTGTGCTACTTATTTTCATATGCTGATTTTGTATCCTAAAACCTTACTGAATTTATTTATCATGTCTAGGATTATTGTGTAGGAATCTTTAGGTTTTTGAGGTATAGTATATCCTCAGTGAACGGAGATAATTTGACTTCCTCTTTTCCAATTTGGATGCTTTCTGTTTCTTTATCTTGCCTTATTGCTCTGTCTAAGACTTCCTGTACTATGTTGAATAGGAGTGGTAAAAGTGAACATCCTAGTCTTCTTTCAGTTCTTAGGGGGAATACTTTCTACTTTTGTCCATTCAATATGATGTTGCCTGTGAGTTTGTCACATATGGCTTTTATTGAAATATGTGCCTTTGTTGCCTCATTTCTGAAGGATTTTTATCATGAAGGAATGTTGGATTTTATTGAAAGCTTTTTCTGCATCTATTGAGATCATCATATGGTTTCTGTTTTTAATTTTATGTGGTGAATCACATGTATTGATTTGCATATGTTAGCCATCCTTGCATTACACAAATAAAGCCCACATGACCATAATAAATTATTTTCCGATGTGATGCTGGATTTGGTTTGTTAGTATTATGTGAGGATTTTTCAGTCTAGGTTCATCGGAGATATTGGCTTGTAGTTTTTTGTTATTATTGTATCCTTGCCAGATTTTGGTAACAGAATGATGCTAATTTCATAGAATGGGTTAGGGAGGAATCTCTTTTCTTCTATTTTTGGGAATAATTTCAATAAGATTGGTACTAAATAATCTCTGAACGTCTGGTAGAATTTGGCTGTAGTCCATCTGGTCCAGGGCTTCTTTTGTTTGATAGATTTTTTTCTTACTGATTTAATTTTGTAATTCATAATTTGTCAGCTCAGGATTTTGATTTCTTTTTGGTTCAATCTTGGGAGGTTTTGCGTTTGCAGGAATGGAACAATTTCTTCTAGATTTTCTAGTTTGTGTGCATAAAGATGTTCATAATAGTCTCTGAGGATCTTATGTATTTCTGTGGTATCAGTTGTAATGTCACCTTTGTAATTTCTGATTGTTCTTATTTGAGTCTTCTCCCATTTTTGCTAATGTAGGTAGCATTTTAGCAATTTTGTTTATTCTTTTATAGTATCATTTTTTTTATCATTGATCCTTTGCATGCTTTTTGGCCTCAATTTCATTTAGTTCTGCTATAATATTTGTTATTTATTTTCTTCTGCTGTTTTGCTATTTTGAAGTTTGGTTTGTTCTCATTTCTCTAGTTCCTTTAGCTGTATGTTAGGTTGTCAATTTGAGATATTTCTGTCTTTTAGTTGTAGGCATTTGGCACTATCAGCTTCACTCTTAACTTTTTTTTGCTGGATCTCAGAGTTTATGGTATGTTGTATCTCTTTTCATTTGGCTCAAATTTTTTTTTACATTTCTGACTTAATTTTATTGTGTGTGTGCGTGCGTGTGTGTGTTTGTGTGTTTGGTGTTGTTGGTTTAAAGTCTGTTTTATCTGATACAAGTATTGCAACTCCTGCTCTTTTTGTTTTCAACTTGTGTAATTGATCTTTCTACATTCCTTCACTTTAAACCTGTGGGTCTCATGACATGTGATGTTGGTTTCTTGAAGTCAGCGGAAGGTGGGGTCTTTTTTAATCCAATTTACCACTCTGACTTTTAAGTGGAGCATTTAAGTCATGTATGTTCAAGGCTAATATTGATTTGTGAGATTTTGTTCCTGTCATAGTGTTTTTGGCTAGTTGCTTTGTAGTATCAATGATGTAATTGCTTTATAGGCTATGGGAACTTTGTAGTTAGGTGTACTTTTATGGTAGCTAGTATTGTTCTTTCATTTCCATATTTAGAACTCCTTGTACCATTTCTTGTAAGCTTATTCTGGTGGTGATAATTTCCTTTAGCATTTATTTACCTGGGAAATATTTTATTTCTCCTTTATTTATGAAGCTTACTTTGGCAAGACATAATTTTTTTACTGGCATTTTTCCTATTTAGGGAGACTAAAAATAGGGCTCCAATTTTTCTGGCTTGTAACATTTGTGCCGAGAAACTGCCTACTGGGTACTATGTTCACTATTTGGGTGATCATTTCACTATAAGCCAAAACCCCAGTATTATGCAATGCACCCTTTCAACCAACCTTCACATGTATCCCCTTTACATTATTCCATATTTCTCTAAGACTTTGTTCATTTTTAAAAACTCATTTTTCCTTTATTTTTGTCTGACTGGGTTAATTGAAAAGACTAGTCTTCAAGCTCTGAAATTATTTCCTCTGCTTGGTCTAGTCTATTGTCAAAGTTTCCAAAAATTAGCCTTTTTCAATGCACTGCACTCTCAGGTTTGACGTAAAACACTTAATAATATATGTGTTGATCTTTTTCTGTAATTTACTTTTATTGGGCTACTTGCTCATACACATAGCTATATTATACTGTCTTAATAAATATAAATTATAATATGTCATGATATCTGATAGATAGATTATATCCTCCATGTTTGTTATTCTTTGTGTTGGATTTGTTTTTTCTTGATCCTTTGAATTTCCATATGAATATTAAATTCTATTTGTCAGCTTCCTTACAAAATCTCCTGCTATTTTGATTTGTCTCTTAAATTTTCAATCTGTAGACCAATTTTTTTACATATATCACTTATGTATTTGAAAACCACTTGCAGAAATCATGAGATTTTATCTCTAAATACTTTAGCACATATCTCCTAAGAATAAGTTCAATCTGTTACATAAACATAATTCCCATATCAAACTCTAGAAATGTAATAATCGTTCTAGAAAATGATCAAATTACAGGGCATATTTGAATTTCCCCAATCATCTCAAAATACCTTCTACATCTTCAAACCCAAAGTTCCAATCCAGTTTTTTTATATGTAAAGCTATTTTTATAGAATATACATCTTTAAAATTTCAAACTGATATACAAATTCCATAAACATAAGATACTGAATCTTCCAATACTTAAATAAAATGTGTCCCTCCATTTATTGATGTTTTCTTTGGTTTATCTCAAAAGTATTTTATTGTTATTATTGTAGTGTTCTCACATATCAGCATTAGATTTAATCCTATGTATAGTTGATGTTTATAATCATTTAATTAGCATAATTTTAAAACATTTTTTCCACTTTTTTGTGATTAGTATACAGGAACAAAACTCACTTTCAAAAATTACAGTTTGTCCTAAGGTTTTTTTTTAAAAAAAAACTTTTAAGTTTAGGGGTACAGGTGCAGGTTTGTTACATAGGTAAACTTCAGTCATGGAGGTTTGTCGTACAGATTATTTTATCACCCAGGTAGTAACCTTAATAACCATTAGTTATTTTTCCTGATCCTCCACCTCCTCCTACCCTCCACACTCTAAAAGGTCCCAGTGTGTGTCGTTCTCCTCTATGTGTTTATGTGTTCTCATTATTTAGCTCCCACTTATAAGTGAGAAAATGTGGTGATTGGTTTTCTGTTTCTATGTTAGTTTGCTAAGGATGATGGCCTCCAGCTCCGTCCATGGCCCTGCAAAGGACATGATCTCATTCTTTTTTATGGCTGCATAGTATTTTCTTTAGTCTATAATTGATGAGTATTTAGGTCAATCCCATATCTTTGCTACTGTGAACAGTGCTGCAATGAACATATGCATACATGTGTCTTTATAGTAGAGCAATTTATATTCCTTTGGGTGTATACCCAATAATATAGATTGCTGGGTTGAATGGTATTTCTGTTCTTAGGTCTTTGAGAAATTGAAACACTGTCTTACACAATGGCTGAACTAACTTACACTCCCATCAACAGTGTATAAGCATTCTCCAAAACCTTGCTATCATCTGTTTTTTAAAAATTTTATTTTTAATAATAGTCATTCTGACTGGTATGAGATGGTTTCTTATTGTGGTATTGATTTACATTTCTCTAATGATGAGTAAAATTGAGTTTCTTTTCATATGATTGTTGGGCACATGCATGTTTTATTTTGAAAAGTGTCTGTTCAGGTCCATTGCCCACTTTTTAACGGCGTTTTCTTTTTGTTGTAAATTTGTTTAAGTTCCTTATAGACACTGATTATTAGACTTTTGTTGGCTGCATCATTTGAAAAAAATATTTCTCGTTGTGTAGACTATCTTTTTACTCTGTTGATAGTTTCTTTTGCTGTGCAGAAGCTCTTTAGTTTAATGAGAACCCATTTGTCAATTTTCGTTTTTGTTGCAATTGCTTTTGGCGACTTTGTCATGAAATCTTTGTCTTGAATGGTATTGTCTAGGAAGTCTTCCAGGGTTTTTGTAGTTTTGTGTTTCACATTTAAGTCTTCAGTCCATCTTGAGTTAATTTTTGCGTATGGTGTAAGGAAAGGGTCCAGTTTCAATCTTCTGCATATGGCTAGCCAGTTATTCAAGCACCATTTATTGAATAGAGAGTCCTTTCCTCCATTGCTTGTTTTTGTCAGGTTTATGAAAGATCAGATAGCTGTAGGTGTGCAGTCTTATTTCTGAGTTCCCTATTCTGTTCCTTTGGTCTATGTGTCTGGTTTTGTACCACTACCATGATGTTTTGGTTACTGTAGCCCTGTAGTATACTTTGAAGCCAGGTGGCGTGATGTCTCCAGCTTTGTTCTTCTTGCTTAAGATTGCCTGGGCTATTTGGGATTCTTTTGGGTTCCATAAGAATTTTAAAATAGTTTCTTTTTTTTTTAGTTCTGTGAAGCATGTCCATAGTAGTTTAATAGGCATAGCATTGAATTTATAAATTGCTTTGGGCAGTATGGCCAATTTAACAATATTGATTCTTCCTCTCCATGGGCATGGAATATTTTTCCATTTGTTTATGTACTCTCTGATTTCTTTGAGCAGTGGTTTGTAGTTCTCCTTGTAGAGATCATTCTCCTCCCTGGTCAGCTGTATTCCTAGGTATTTTATTCTTTTGTGGCAATTGTAAATGGGAGTTTATTCCTGATTTGGCTGTCGGCTTGACTATCATTGGTGTATAAGAATGTAGTGATTTTTGCACATTGATTTTGTATCCTGAATTTATCATTTTAAGAAGCTTTGGTGCTGAAACTATGGGGTTTTCTAAAGATAGGATCATGTCATGAGCAGACAGGGATAGTTTGACTTCCTCTCTTCCTATTTGGATGCCTTCATTTCTTTATCTTGCCTGATTGCCCTGGCCAGAATCTTCCAATAATATGTTGAATGGAAGTGGTGAGAGAGGCCATCCTTGTCTTGTGTCTTTTCTTGAAGCAATTACTAATATGTGATCCATCTCCATCGTTTTCTCATTTTGAGAATATTACATACATGGAGTCATACAGTATCTGACTTTTTATATTGGCCTTTTTTCACTCAGCCTAATTACTGGAGATTCAACAAATTTGCTGCATGTATCCTTCATTCAATTCTATTGCCTAGTATTAGATGATGGTATTTACCAATACTGTGGGACACTTTGGTTGTTTCCAGTTTGAGGTGAATACAGATAAAGGCGCAATGAACAATTATGTAAACATTTTTGTGTGAACATAAATGTTCATTTCCCTAGAATTTGGGATAAGTATGTGGTTGCTGGGTCATATTATAAGTATAGTTTTAGTTTCTTAACAAACTGCAAAACTGTTTTCCACTGTGGCTATCTTATTTACATCTCCACCAGCAGTATGAGAGTTTATCCTCATCTACTTCAAAATCTGATATTGTCATAATTATTTATCTTAGCTTCTTTAATAGGTATGTAGTGATTTCTCATTGTGCTATTGATTTGCATTTCCCTCATGGCTAGTAACGGTGAACCTTTTTTTTTCATGTGTTTATTTGCCATTTATACATCCTCTCCTTTGAAGTGTGTCTTAAATTCTTTTTTAAAGTTTTTTTTTGCCATTTTTTAATTCAAATTTCTTTATTCTTTCTGTTTGTAACTATTAAATTTTAAAATATTTTAAATATTATGGACATGATTTATTGTCAGATATGCATATTGTAAAGACTTTTTCCCATTTAGTAGCTTCTTTTTTCATCCCTTAACAGGGTCTTTTGCAAAGCAAATCATTTTAATTGTAATGAATTTTATTTAACTAATTAATTTAATGTAATATAAAAATTTAATTGAAAAATTTTGAATTTTTATTAAAATATGTTCTAGTGGCAAGAGTAAAAGCTATTCAACAATTCCTGTATCAGAAGTTTCGTCTCTCTATATTATTTTAAAACTGTTATAGTTTTATATTTTACATTTAAAATCATGATCCCTATCAGGTTAATTTTTGTATAAAGTACTAATTTGAAGTTGAGGTTACTTGTTGCTACAGCTATTCGATTGCTCTAGCACTGTTTTTTTGAAAGTGGCATCCTCATTCAGCTTTTAATTAAGACAACTGTCTACAGGACTATAAGCAGCAGAATGGGGTCAATCTGAAGTATTGATTTTAATCATGCTTCCCAGCATCCTCAACTCAGGCAGCTAAGCAAATGTTATTAACCATTAGAGTCTATCATAGAAACATGGGTGGCTTTATTCTTACGTTTTGTTTATTTTTTATTTTTATTCTTACTTTTTGTAGAGATGGGTTCCTATCAGTCTGCCCAGGCTGATCTTGAAATACCGACCTCAAGTGATCTTCTCACCTTGGCCTTCCAAAGCGCTCACAGGTGTGAGTCACCATGCCAGGCTTGTTATCATATTTCTTTACTGGCCATGGCACTAATTCAGAGGAATTCATTCAGGGACTGCATGCTGAATTAGAGGTTGCATAAATAAGAACGTGGTTTGCAGGTATGAAGTTTATGGCAATCTTATCACACAAAACAACCAGCAAGTTCAGGTGGAACTGAATGCTTTTTAGAGCTGAGATGATATAATTGATAAAATCAACTAAAATAAGGGGCAGATTGTATAACAAATTTTCCTAATTGGATGACTCTCATTGTAGGAAAAATTACTTGCAGCATAACATAGTAATAAATCTATTAGACCTCTGAAAAGCTCCCCTGTCTGATGAAGATTATACTCATTTTAGAACACTTTCTGTAGTAATATAAGGTTTATTTGATCTACTGGTGGTGTTTTATGAAACACATGGTTTATGACCACCTTTTTAAAAAGTATATTTTTATTTTTGTGAGTACATAGGTGTACATTTTGATGTATTTTTATGAGTGCATAGGTGTACATTTTAAAATATCTCAAATACACATATGTGTATATGTGTTGTAAATATATAAATTTATATATTATAAATATATAAATATAAAGAGGGATGTTTAGGCAAGTCAGAAAGTCTAAACATGTGTATATGAGATATTTTGTTACAGGCATATAATGAGACTGAAACACATCAAGGTTCCAATTGGAGACTCTTCTAGAAGGACCATGCCTATGACTAGGAAAGACCAGGAGGTAGACTGAGTGTCAGAAACTGAAAGCAACTAGCTCAATTTTTAAATATATATTTAATTTTTGTGGGTACATAGTAGGTGTATATATTTATGGGTTACATGAGATATTTTGTTATAGGCATGCAATATGTAAAAATTACATCAGGATAAATGGGGAATCCATCACCTAAAGCACTTATCTTTTGTGTTACAAAAAATGAATTATACTTTATTTTAACATATACAATAAAATTATTATTAACTATATTCACCGTGTTATTCTATCAAATAGTACATATTATTTCTATTTTCTAAATATTTTTTGTACATATTAACTATCCCTACTTTCCCCTAACCCCCGGAACCCACTACTCCTCCCAGCCTCTGGCAACAATGTGCCTCCATGAGTTCAATTGTTTTAATTTTTATCTCTCACAAATAAGTGAGAACATATGAAGCCTGTCCTTCTGTACCTGGCTTATTTTACTTAACATAATGACCTCCAGTTCCATCCATGTTGTTGTAAATGACAGGATCGTGTTCTTCTTTATGAGTGACTAATACTATATTGTGTATATGTACCACATTTTCTTTATCCATGCAAGCAACACTTAAGTTGCTTGCAAATCTTGGCTATTATAAATAGTACTGCAATAAATATGGGAGTACCAATATCTCTTCAATATACTGGTTTCCTTTCTTTGTGGTATACATCTAGCAGTGGGATTGCTGGATAATACGGTAGTTCTAATTTGAGGTTTTTGAGAAACCTCCAAATGGTTCTCCATAATGGTTTTACTAAATTACATTCTCACCAACAGTGCAAAATAGTTCTCTTCTCTCCCTAATCTCACCAGCATTTGTCAATGGCTTTTTATATAAAAGCCATTTTAACTGGGGTGAGATCACATCTCATTATAGTTTTCATTTGCATTTCTTTGATGATGAGTGATGTTGAGTATCTTTTCATATACCTGTTTGCCATTTGTATGTCTCCTTTTGAGAAATGTTTATTCAGATCATTTGCTCATTTTTAAAATCAGATTATTATATTTTTTTCTTGTAGATTTGTTTGAGCTCCTTATATATTCTGGTGATTAAACTCTTGTCAGATATTTGTTAGTTTGCAAATATTTTCTGCCATTCTGTGGGTTGTCTCTTCACTTAGTCAATGGTTTCCTGTGCAGAAGCTCTTTAACCAGATGTGATCCCATTTCTCCATTTTTACTATGGTTGCTGGTGCTTGTGGATTATTACTCATGAACTCTGCCCACGCCAATGTCAGAGAGATTTCCTAATGTTTTCTTGTAGGAGTTTCATAGTTTAACGTCTTAGATTTAAGCATTTAATGTATTTTGATTTGATTTTTCTATATGGCAAGATATAAGGATCTAGTTTAATTCTTCTCCATATGGATATCCAGTTTCCCCAGCAACAGTTATGGAAGATATTGTTCTTTCTCCAATGTATGTTCTTGGCCTTTTTGTGGAAAATCAGTTCACTCTAGATGCATGGTTTTCTTTATGGGTTCTTTATTCTGTTTCATTGGTCTATGTGTCTGCTTCTTTGTGGGTAACATGCCATTTTGGTTATTATAGCTCAGTAGTTTAATTTGAAGTAGGGTACTGTTATTCCCCCACTTTTGTTCTTTTTGCTCAGGATAGCTTTGGCTATTATGGCTCTTTTATGGTTCCATATAAATTTTAGGATTTTTTTCTATATCCGTTAATAATATTATTGGTATTTTGAAAGGGGTTGTGTTGAATCTGTGGATTACTTTGTATAGTATGAACATTTTAACGATGTTGATTCTCACAAATCATGACATTGAATATCTTTTTAGTTTTTGCGTCCTCTTCAATTTCATGCATCAATGTTTATAGATTTCATTGTAGATATCTGTCTTTTCTTTAGTTAAGTTAATTCCTAGGTATTTAATTGTATTTTTAGCTCTTATAAATGGGGATTCTTTTTTGATTTTTTAAACTATTGTTTGCTAGTGGCACATAGAAATGTTACTGATTTGTGTATTTTGTTTTCGTATCCTGCAACTGTACTGAATTTACAAGGTCTAAGAGGTTTTTTGGTAGAGTTGTTAGGTTTTTCCAAATATAAGATCATATCATCTGTAAACAATTATAATTCGACTTCTTCCTTTCCAATTTGTGTGCCCCTTATTTCTTTCTTTCATATGATTGCTCAGGTAGGACTTCAAGGGATATGTTCAATAACATTGGTAAAAGTGGACATCCTGGTCATGTTCCAGATCTTAGAAAAAAGATTTTCAGTTTTTCCCCATTCAAAACGATGCTACCTGTGTGTTTGTCATATATTGCTTTTATTATGTTGATGTATGTTTCTTCTGTACCCAGTTTTTTTAGGATTTTCATCATGAAGCAATATTAAATTTTATCAAATGCTTTTCCATCATCAATTGAAATGTTTATATGGTTTTTGTTCTTTATTCTGTGAACAGGATGTATCATATTGATTGATTCACATACGACGAACTCTCTTTCTTCCCTCGGATAAATTCCACTTGGTCATGATTAATGATCTTTTTAATGCATTGTTGAATTTGGCTTGCTTGAATTATTTGAGAACTTTTGCATCACTGTTCATCAGAAATATTGGCCTGTAAGGTTTTTTTTTTTTTTATTAGACGTGTCTTGTTTTGGTGTAAAGGTAAAACTGGCCTCATAGAATAAATTTGGAGGTATTTCCTCTTCCTCTATTTTTCGGAAGAACTTGAGAAGGATTAATATTAGTTCTTTTCTAAATATTTGATAAAATTCAGCAGTAAAGCCATCAGTCTTGGGATTTGCTTTGCGGAGAGAAGTTTTGTTATGGCTTTGATTTCCTTACTTGTTATCAGTCTGTTCAGGTTTTGGATTTCTTCATGGTTCAATCTTGGTAGGTTGTATGTGTCTAGGAATTTATTCATTTCTTCTAGGTTTTCCAACGTATTGGCATATAGTTGCTCATAGTAGCCAATAATGAACCTTTGAATTTCTCCAGTATCAACTTTAATGACTCCCTTTTCATGTCTTATTTTATTCATTTTGGTCTTCTTTCTTTTTTCTGTTAGTCTGGCTAATTTTTTCAAGTTTGTTTATCTTTTCACTAAACCAAGATTTTATTTTACTGATCACTTATATTTTTCACATTTTAATTGCATTTATTTCTACTCTGATCTTTAGTATTTCTTTTCTTCTACTAATTTTGGGTTTTACTTTATTCCTCCTTTGTGTTTGAAGGATATTTTCACTTGATATATTATTCTAGGGTGAAATTCTGTTTTCAGTGCATTAAATATGTCATGACACATTCTCCAGGTCTGTAAGATTTCCAGAGAGTCTACGGCCAGACATATTGAAGCTCTGTTGTTTGTTATTTCTTTCATCTTGCTGCTTTTACCAACATTTCTTTATCCTTGACCTTTGGGAGTTTGAGTATTAAATGCCTTGATACAGTGTTCTTTGGGTTAAGTCTCCTTGATGTCTTCTATGGTCACCTTTAAGTAGCAAGCAAATGTGTTTTCAAAACAGAGCGAAGTTAATACTTGGTTTCCCCAGAAGTGCAATGATTACCGGATGCATATACTACTCCATTCAGAAAATGTTTATAATTGTTGAGACCCCCAAATGGAAACTACATCAGTCAATTGCCCAGGTGAACATTCCTCCCTCTGTTGTGGGCTCCTGGCCAGTGGTAAGTCTTAAGGTTCCCAGTTAATGTCAAATAATTGATTCTGGACCTTGTTTACAGTAAGAACTGCCTGAGAAGAGTTCATTCTACTGGTCTTTTTTTTGTCCATGCCACTCAGTCAGGTTCCATTCACCTACCCTATGCAATAAATGGGTGACAGATAAGGGAATAATGGCAGGAAATACATCTAGAGAGACTGACAGGTGTTTTCTTTGAGAGATGCAGAAGCAGAAGCCCTCCTGTGCAATTTCCAGTAGGCTTCATAGGAAGGCTAAGGGAAGTATTCATCAAATTGTGTTTCAGGTCTGTTTGGTGAGGAAATGCTATCAAAATTCAAATATATGGTGTTTGCAAAAATTGGGAAGAGTGAAAGCAACCAGGGCATTTTACTTCAAACAGTAGCAATACTGAAATATATATTATTAATATGTCTTAATCCTCTGTCACTCCTGGAGATAAGAGGTCCACTTTTCAGTTGGGGGTAAAGTTGCTCTCTTTTCATTGCCACAAAGTTGGTATGTCACGTTCCAATAGCTATAAAAACACTGATTTTACAATAATCTGTTCTTCACTATTGGAATTCTAATCTAAAAATTTCAGGAGCAATAGAAACAACGGCAATTTATAAGACTTGAGGAGACTTAATATGTTCCCTACTTTTCCCAAATAGACCACTGTAGACGACTCAGAGAACAGTGCAGTCGACATGTAGTCTTTATCATTATGCTGTTGGACCATGTTAATTCAACAATCAAATCCAGGTTGCTGAAGAGGAATTAAGTTTGAATCTGCTGGGCCTCCTTTTAGCCATGCTGCTATCTGGGTTCACCAACCAGAACAGCAGGGATTGCTGTTAGGAGGAAGACAACATACATTGTGCCAAGGAATGGTTCAAAGTAGGTTTATATACACCCTCCTCAAATTCCTTTTGTTCATTACTCTGGAATAGTTCAGAGGGTAGCTGCCATTTTGAAACAGAACATTTGGTGAACAAGGCCTTACCAATCAGACCAGAGATTTTTCATGTATATTCATACTTCAGGCCACTTCTTTCTTAATACCAGATTAATTACCAAGTGTATGTTGCAAAATTCCACATCTAGGAGGATTTGTTATCAATGGTGATACACCTTTCCATAAAGAGCTTGCTACTTTATTAAGGTGTGGAGAGGAGGAGGAATGGGGAGATATAAAGTCAGAAATCCTTTTGAGTTGATTTTTGAGGAAGTTGTTCGAGTGGTCATGAATACCAGATGCTTGTGCATGGTAGGCATATACAAATTTCATTGAAAATCTTGACTGAAAGCCTATTGCTTAGTGGCTTTTATTACATATTTAAGATACAACCTTGTCAGACTAAAAATTACCTGAAACACCAAACACTGTATACAGATAAGTTTTCAGAGGGACAATGGTGTGCCTGAACTTGTTTAATCAGACTGAATCAGAAGTTTTGTAATCACGAAAAAGGGCCAAAAGTAGAGAACAATCCCCATTTCCCTAAGAGTGAGTCTAAGATCTGATGTAGTCAATAAGCCAGTGTAGACAGAGGCGAGGCCCCACACAATATTGCCTCCCCACTGTGAAATAAACACATCGTCTTTTGGCAAGAGTTGCAATGGTAACCTCTACATGAGAAATATAGTATGTTTTACTCCCTGCTTCATGGATGGTGGTGGATGTGTTTCTATGATTAATAGGGTGATGGATCCAGGCAGCAATGGTGGAAATCTAGGTGGTGCAGGCTCAATCAGCATCTTGATTCCCATTCAGTCTCATTAGAGAACCAACTTATTCCAGGGGCTTCTAAATGAATAGCCCATACATTATCATTAACAGCTTGGATCTGTCTCAATATGTTATGAATCCAAAGGGATGAGGAGTGTTAATCCAGTATTTGTAATTTTCCAAGTGACTGACCAAACAGCTATTTAATTGGCAGCAACCAAATAGTCGGAGGCAGGGGAGGCAGGATATGTAAAATATAACAACGTTCACGAAGAGGAACAACAGCTAAAGCTAGGAGACCGTCCTGGAGTCCTACTCACTATGCAAGTGGATTCTATATTCTTTTGATTCTTAGCTGATTCTGAGGCTGAAGAGAGTCAATCACCTGTTGGATGCCACCAAATTACAGTTTGTCATCATGTAACAAGGCTTACACACTTAGAGACACTTCTGTGAAACAAGGGCACCAATTAGCCAGTGATTTTAATTCAGGCATTGGAGAAGCGGATAGTATTTTTCCACAATGGAATAGCTAACTATTTTTCACATAAAAGCTGAAAGGCCACTGTGTCAAGACTGGCTGGATTTTTTAATAGTCTACTTTCATCGAGAAACAAAATTGTCAAGTCTTTCCCACAGTACTATTCATTGAACCTGATTTGACTTACAAGATGAGAGTTTCAGGCTAGAAAATCACAAGACTTCTATCCGTCAGGAATTTAGTTCTGGCAAGGATGCAGTGGCAAGCTTTTTATGGAGAGGTGTACAACAGTTGATAACAAATCCTCCTAGATGCTGAATTTTGCACCATATCCTCGGTAATTAATCTGGTATTAAGAAAGAAGTGGCCTGAAGTAGGAATATACATGAAAAATGTCTGGTTTGATTGGTAAGGCCTTGTGAAGAGTGATACTGGAAGATTTGGGAGACAACGCTGACTGGAATATGCATAAGAATGGATCTAGGAAAGTGAGTATAGAGTTGGCATATCTTTGTGTCTTACAACAATACCCACCGGACAGTATCTACGAAGAAGAGACACTCAGCAACCACAGAGAGGCTTTCCCTAGATGTAAACCATCTTCTATTCTCAGCTACTTCAATGTTTATTCAATGGGCCCATAAAGAAAGAACCGTAATAGCAGAAATGGAGGCTATGAATGGCTGCAATACCCTGGCATACCTCTCGCCAGAGTTTGCACAACTACCATTTCTTATAAATGCCTGATGTGTCAATAGTAGAAACCAATGCTGAAAACTTGATATGATTCCATCCATGAAAGAGACCAACCAGACACTTGGTTTCAAGATTATTATATTAGCCTTCTTCTAACTGAAGATAACAGTAATTCACACTTTCAATAATTTATATCTGCTCTGAAATTCATTGGCCTTCCTTGGCCACAATGCTTGTATGATTTCCACTAACCACTTACTTACAGCCTTCTGATGTACTCACATGTGATCCCACATAGCTGTTTCAGACCAAGGAGCCCATTTGGTTTTGAAGAATAATTTGTTACTGATTGCTGTATCACCTGAAAACCTGTGGCCTGTTAGACCTTTATTATAATTTCTTAAAGGCTTGCCTAAAGCAATTGTTGTGGATGACAACATGGTACAGTCAAAGTTATATCGTACAGAATACAGTATTGTCATGGAACCAAGACTGACATATCATTCTGTGGTCAAATGCTAAATAATGTTTCCAAGGGGTATAGGGAAGTTTGACATTTTTTACCATCACTCCTGCTGACTCACTTCCAGTATTTGTATTTCTAGTTTCTTCAGCCTTAGGGTTCTACTGACTGAAAGGTCTTGGCTTCCCAGGAGGCAATGCTTTCACCAGTTGGCCCAATCACCATTCCACTGAACTTAATGTTGGGAGCACTACTTGGTCCCTTTGAGCTTCTCAATCGAGTGGACAATCAGATAAAGAAATGTTTCTTTTCAATCATAGATAATAGACCTTGATTATTATGAGGAAATACAACGTCTGCTACCAAACAGAGGCAAGGAGTTATATGCATGGAATTTGCTGGATTCACTGAAGATGTTTTGGTGCTCCTATGATCAGGATTAACAGTATGCACTCAGCTGGGAAACTTTGTTCTATGAACTCTGTTTTGGGGAACATAAACTAAAACATGCAAGCAAAGCTATAAACTCAATGAATATACTTTTGTTTTACCTAATAGCTTTATTTACGTGCCCTTCATATGTGCCTCTGATATCCTATCCTGCTGACTGTGCTCTTCTGCAGAATCCAGTGTCTCCATGGTGTGTATTAGCTTTCAATTTATATTAATACTTACCTATTTGATGTGCATCATTCTCATGCTCTTCCCCTGCAAATGACCTAAAGTTATCTCATTTCTCCTTCTCTACCCTATTGACCCCTTCTATTGCCCTTCACTGAGGAAACTTGTTGAACTAAGATCTTTTGCCTTACTTGGCCTCTTTGCTTATAGATGTCAAGAAACTGATTGGCTGTACATCATTTGAGAAAACTAATGTTATTAATTTTTGTATTTATTGTGTCTGATAACATGTTAGATGTGTAATACATGTGAAATGAACTAATGTATTGTTGAGATAAATTATTCTTATTGAAGGTTCAATATTGTTGAAGGCTCTTACTGTAAGAAAAGAAATTTTTGAAAAAATTTCTGAATAAATTTATTACAGCACCTACTACATAGTCTTAGTATTTGGGTATGTACCCTACATTTACATAAGTGCATAATAAAGATCATCACTACATTTTCTAAACTAAAAAATGCACTTTTCATACAGTACTTGATGTCATACATTTACACATTTCTAGTTTTGTTTAACTCTGTGCTTTAGGAAATGTTTTCTCTATCAGATTCTTTGTTGTTTGTTGTTTCAATTATTAGAATTGCTTCCTTTACTTTGTGCTCATTTTTTTCTTGCTTTAGCTCAGATCAACTTGAACATTTTTAAGAGTTATACATTTCCATACAGTATTAGACAACAGTGGTTGAAATGCCAGAAATCTATAAGTTTTAATACTGTAAATATTGGGTATGGAGTCACAGGAGTTGAGAGAAGATAAAATATGTTTCAAAGTTTTATAAATACATATGTTTAACTCTTGTTCTTCTTGATATTCGTGAACATTTCAGCTCTTCATGAGTCCTGTAGGTTTTCCTCTATTCCAATGTCACAGTCTCCAAAGTTATCAGTAATCTGCATATGAGAGCAGCTGTTAAAGTCCTATAGCTGATTATAAACCATCCTTTGAAAAGAATAAAAGCAAGACAACAATTGTCGGTGAATGACAAAATGTCTTCAGGGTAGTTACAGTCAAAAACATTATTGACAAAGAAATTTGGTTATTTATGTGGTTTACAATAACAATAACCTTAATTATGGTTGACAGCATATACACAGACATTAAAATTTTAAAAAATCACATACAATTTTGGAACATATATTACCGTTATTCACTAAAGCATAACCTGTAGAAGATTAAACATTATTTTGGCAATCTCCCATAACTAAACATGTAAAATAATCCTGTTTACCACTCATTTGAATGTTCCAGGTTTCCTCCGTAGCATCTAAAAGTTAAGGATCAGAAAAGGCAATTTTTGAAGCTGACATTTGATTTTGGGAAGCCTATCAAACAGTTTAAAGGTTAAAACACTTCATACTATGAAATATAATTCCAGGTTACCATAGGTCATTTAGTTAGCCAAAATGATGACTCAAAAATTTTTAAAAGGGCAAAAACCATTACTCATTAAGAGGGAAGACTTAGCTTTCCAAACAATCTTTCTTTAATATTACATAAAAATCCTGTTCAAGAGAGAGAAAGCCATATTTCACCCTTGCGTTAGTCTACTATTAATGTCAACCCCAATTTTTAATGAAACCTTATAGATAATTTTGGCCAATCTTAACCACCTTGACCATGAGGTGAGATTCTTGTAAATCTCGTATAACCCTTTTCAAATTTTTGTTAGAGAGCAGATCAGTGCCTTAAGAAAACCTTGCTGTGGCTGGGCGCGGTGGCTCACGCCTGTAATCCCAGCACTTTGGGAGGCCAAGGCGGGTGGATCATGAGGTCAGGAGATCGAGACCATCCTGGCTAACACAGTGAATCCCCGTCTCTACTAAAAATACAAAAAATTAGCCAGGCGCAGTGGCGGGCACCTGTAGTCCCAGCTACTCGGGAGGCTGAGGTAGGAGAATGGCGTGAACCTGGGAGGTGGAGCTTGCAGTGAGCCGATATCGCGCCACTGCACTCCAGCTTGGGTGACAGAGCGAGACTCCATCTCAAAAAAAAAAAAAAAAAAAAAAAAGAAAGAAAATCTTGCTGTGCTTTTATTTCAATGCTCAATTTATGGAAAATTATATAATACCTTTTTGAAGTTAGTATGTTCACACACAGAATTTCTTTTGCAACCTTAATTTTTACAAACCATCAGACCACATATTTACATTTTGAAGACATTTGTATTTTACCAATTATCTTTAAAACTTATTTCTCAAAGATTAAATTCACATGAACTAAAAAGCATTACAGCTTTTACTTTTTCTTAAGAAAATATTTGATCTAAGCACTTATTTTCTTTAAGCCAATTAATTAGACCTTTTTTCTATAACCACCACACAAATAACACATATATGATTACACAGACAGACAGAAGAAGATTTAGTAGTTGTAAGACTTTTCATTTGCCAGTCTCCTAATTGGATTACTGACCTCAGGGTAGAGTCCTTCAAGAAACAGGACTAGGAAAGAATTTAGTTCCTAGGGCCTAATAAACAGGCATAGCTGGGAGACATAAATAGATTTGCGAGGGATATACACTTTTAATTCTTTGGGTTCCATGAGAAAAACAGGGTTTTTTCCCAAAATGGGGTCTGTGTCACATTCTCCATTTTTCTCAAGGAGTCCCATGTTCTCAGAAGTTATCTTAGGGCCTCTCATGTCTGCATTAAGAGTGGCAAGACAAAACGGATAAAAATAATTCAGTCGACTGAGAAAAAATCTTTTTCCAGAAAAACAAGATTCACCAAGAGAAAAACATAAAGGTCTTTTAAATACACCTATATCTTGGATATCCTCTTTTAATTAAGCTTTTAACCATAGCACTCTTTAAGAAAATCATTTTAAATCCCTTGTTACCTGACTTTAGCCATGGGAAGTGGCCAATATTTCTAGCTTTTGTACTTTAAGAAAAGTAGCCTCCACTAAGGTTATGACTTAACCATGAGTATACGAGGTATTTTCAAAGAGGTGGTAAGCAGCCTTTACAAAATCTATAATCTTTAAAGGTAGCTCAGAGAAAGGAAGATTTAAGAAAGGAAGCTAGAAGTTGTTCATGGAGGGGAAGAGAATCAGCAAATGGTGGCATGTGGTGGAAGGGGGCAGCAGGCAGGAAACACTAGCTGGCCAGCTGCTTGGGGACCCTTATCCCTGAGACAGACCTGGGGCTCAGTTGGCGGCCACGGCTCACTCCCAAACCCATGACCGTTGGACGCAGCATGTACATGCAGTGAACAAAGCCACACGCCCCAGCCAGGATGGGGAGGATGAGTGGGGAGCTGCCATGTGCTCATCCATCTGCCCTGTGTGCCTGCAGCCTTTGGGATGGAGGTGGGGGATATGCTTCTAAGAACAGACAGAAATCACATTGTTCTGACTTGCATATGTGATGGCTGAGCCAAATGCTCATTCTACCTAGTAATATCTCTGCAGTTTCCAGCAACACCCTTAACATTATAAAAGAAGAGACAGGAGTCATGACAGCCTTGAAAGAAAGAAAGAAGGAAAATGCCATAGAGAAGACTGGATTGGAATGAGGCCGACACTCCCAACCCGAGATTGGCAGGGATAGGAGGGTGTCAGGGTCCTCTCCGGCATCCTGTCCTCTGTAGCTGCACCATCCATTCTTAATTGGCTCTCCAGAGGTTTAATGCTTCATCTCTCTTCAGAAAAGTCCTGAGAATGAGAAGGCTTGGAAATGAAAGTGAAGAGCGTAGGTTCACATTTACTCATCCTATTTCAATCTCAGTGGGACCTCCAAAATGATACAGTCTTTCTGCTCTTTAGCTCAGCTAGGTCCAGGTTCTTGTCTTATGACCAGGAAGAGTTAGGCATGCAAACACCAGAGAGTGAGTAGAATAGAATTTATTAAGTGAAAGGAAAACTCTCAGTGGAGAGGGGACACAGTGGAGGTGGGTGGTTTCCCTACCCGAAGGTGGAAAAGTTCCCCCATGTGGCTGGATCTGGGGCCTTTTATCAACTCAGAATGGAGAGTGTGCGCTGATTGGTTTGCAAAAAAGGTTAAAGCAAAGATACCACTCAAAGGTGGGCACAACAGTATAGAAAACCAATTAGGAAAGGGTAGGTTTATGTAAAATATGTGAAGTGTGGGGATCAATCAGAGGAAAGCGTGCCAAACAGGAAGACAAGCTCTCAATCTGGTCTGAGAATTTAACTTGTAGCTTAACTTTCAGACTTTAAACTGTCTTCAGCTTGGAGGTGGGGTTTTACTAGGGACCTTCCCCTATCTGCCGAGGCATTTGGCTGCCTCCTGTCGCTATCAATAGTACACATTAATTGCATAATTTCGTAATTATATATGTCTCATACTAAAAAATTTAGATTATCTTTAAAATCAGTGGCTGATGATTCCATAAAAATTATAAAATACTTTCAGTCCAATTTAGTCCATAGCGTTAACCTACTGCACCAAAGTTATGATAGACTTTGGTTTAGAAAATCTAGTAATGCACCTTTGAATATAAAACTTTAACAGCAGAAGTGCAAAACTTCCAATGTGAAAGGGTAGCAGTATATGGACTTTGATGAGGCTTTAAAGTTTTTTCAGCTTCCTGATTACTATTTCATTCCTGAGTATTTTGTTAAGAGCAATAATGCAGTAGAAAAAGCACAGACATTCAGTTCCTCCAAGGCCTGAAGAGAGACATAGGTCTAGTAATATGAAACAATTTATACCACAAATCAGTGAATCAAAATAGAAGTCATTACAAGATAATCAATAGTTTAGAAAATAGCCTGTTGCCTCTCATCACCTCTACGTATTCAATTGTATTGTGAATGGTTGTAAATCTACCAAATGATAATTTTAAATTGATTTTTAAGCCTTTAAGCCTACAGAGCTCTTAAACCCAGATTTAGGGAAATCTCCAAAACACAACACAGTTAATAACATTAATGTTCTATTTATCATCATCATTTAAAATTTTTTTTCTGGGATGGTTTATTTTCTATTACATAGATACCATCAAAAGTAGACACTTGGACATCATTTCTCAGTAATTTTCTTTAGTTTTAGATTGCCAACGCCGATAATTAAAAACATTTTATCAGAAAGTTTTTGAATTTATGATACTTGACAGCCTAAATTTTGGGATAAATGATTTTGTAACAGACAAACAGAAAGATACAGTTTTCAATTAGTTTTGCCATACATTATTGCATTTGAATCTCACATCATTTCAATAGAAAAAAATAACATTTCTAATCTCTTTTTATTATGCATTTATACTGAAGTACATACATAATAAATACGTGAATACCTTTCTTTTTTATTTTTAATTTTATTTATTATGGATACATAGTAGCTGCATATATTTATGGGGTACATTAGATGTTTAAATGTAAAATGCAAGGCATAATAATCACATCATGTAATATGAGATATCCATTCCCTCAAGCATTATTGTGTTAAAAACAATCCAATTTTAGTCTTTATTTTAAAATGTGCAATGAAATAATTATTGACTATAGTTTCCCCATTGTGCTATCAAATACTAGGTCTTATTTATTAAAACTATTTTTGTACCTTTTAACCAGCCCCACCTCCTCCCACCCCCACTACCCTTTCATTCTTAATATTTAATTGATTGAGGTATATAATTTTATCCAAATCTATGATATGTATAGCGGTTCCGGTTTTATTTTGGTGTCAGTTAACTATAAAGAGCAGTTATCAGCAAACTTTCACTATGAAGGGTCAGATAGCAAATATTTTAGGCTTTGTGAATCATTGGTTATCGGTCTGTCACAACTTTTTTACCTCTGCCATAATCATGGAAAAGCAGTCATACACAATAGCAAATAAATGAGTGCAGGTGTATTCCAAAATAATTTTTTTTTTTTTTTTTTTTTTTTTTACAAAACGAGAGAGATGGGATTTGGCCTGTGGGGTGTAGTTTGCCAATCTTTACCACAGAGTGTTGCATTCTGGTGGTTTATCAGATAAGGCTTGAGTTGTGAGTTATTGGAGTGATTATCAAGCATTCATGGGTGTCACCTTTACTTGGCATTCCTGAGGAATCCAGGACCTGCCTTTGGTAATATGAAGGTGCCAGGTATTTTTCAAGATTACAAAGAACAGCAAGAGAAACTCTACTTGCTCACTTGTATTCACCAGGTTTCTCACTTGTACTTTCTCTTAGAGCTCACAACACAGCTATCATGTGCATTTATTTCAAATTTATTTTTAATTAAAATATAGAATTGTACATATTTATCATGTGAAACATAATGCTTTAATGCATATATACACGCATATTTCTAAAAGAAGAGTTGTTGCTCTAAAAGAAATATTCTTTAAGCAGCTAGGATGTGGAACAAGAGAAGTTTGTGGAACATGTAGATTTTCTTACAAAGGAAATGTATCGTAGTGGTCATTAAAACATAAATTAATTTTTTTGAAAAGATTTTTAAAATTATTATAATTTTCATCTTTGTATGTTTTACTTTTGATTATCTGGGAATATTTTTGGTTACATACTTGGTCATTATTCAATTGAGAATAAATGAACACATATAATAGTTTCAGACATGTGGTAGGTACAAATTGTCTACCAAAAATATTATAACAGAAGACTATAATTTATTATTAATGAATGAATAAATTAATTGTGTGGATAGACTTAACAACCTAAACAAACTTTTTATCTAATATTAGCATTTTAAATAACTTGTTGACACTATAGCCAGTTGGACATAATAAAACAAAATAAGTGCCAAAATTCCAGGCATAACTTTCGAAAACACAGTTTTCTAATTTCCTAGTTTATTTCTTTTTGTTAGGATAATGCATTTAACTTTATTCTCATTGAAATAAAAATTTCCATAGAACATATATAATTTTCAGTACCAGAAAATTTGTATTTTTATTTACTTTGATTAAAAAAAAATGCAAGCATTTCACAAATGTAACTCATAGGAAGTAAATGTAAAATTTGGAGTATGTATAATTTAGAGGAAAGAGGACTGAGTTAATAAACATGTACTAAAAATAAAGTTGGAGCACAGATTATTTTTAGAAGTAAATGATGAGACAACTAAAAATATTTCTGTCTTTCATGCTAAATATTGGAAATAAATGGAGGAGAAAAAGTAAATTTCCCCAACCGAAAAATTCCAAATAATATCCGTAGATACTCCTTCTCCCAGGAGATGAAGTTTAAACCCCTTCCCTCCTTTAAGTGTGAGCTTGATATAATGACATGCTTCCAAAGAACAGAAAATACAAGGAGATCAATAGCAATTGGAGAGTGAACCTGGTAAGTACCACTTTGCCCAAGTGATCAAGATTATTCATTACCAAGTCACAGTATTTCATAAGCTCCTGGCTATGATGTGATGAAGATGGCATGCTATCTCTGTGATATTCCTCAAAAAAATACCCATCCCCTCAGTCTGGTAATGAAAATTATATATATATAAAATATTCTTAAATTATTTCAAACAGATTATTTTTAATTGACAGATAAAAGCGCAGGTATTTATCATGTACAACATTGTGTGGATCTTTTAAATAAAGAAAATAAAATATTTCATATTCCTATAACTAATTTAACAAGTTTTTATTTTTAAAAATCTTTCCTTCAAAGTTGCTTCTGAATTTAAATTTTGTATCACGTAGGCTTAAAATAGCCCAATGAAATAAACTTTACTTTGGGTAAAATACAAATTCCCTAGTCGTACTGTTAAAAACTATATCCAAATATTCAAGGGAGGGAATAGGTAAAGAGTGTATCAATTAGAAATCCCTTATAATTATTATAACCAAGTAAGTTTGGGGCACACTGGACCAGTAAATTGATTTTGTCACAGTGGTTTTCTACTCGCAGCTACCAGCTATAGATAACAGGATCCAGTCATGCTGTCAATTAGTAATTTATTTTCTCTACAGAGCCCTGTATCTACTCAAAGTATAGTATTAACTTCTTTCCATCTTACATAATTTATTTAAAAATATTTACTGAGTTCTACTATGTGCCAGGTATTGAGTATATGATGGATAATAAAACAGTATCTCTGTCTTCATGAAGTTTATCACCTAGGAAGGAGATACATAGTAAATGAATAAATGCATCCACAATTAATTACCATAAGTGCTGAGAGATGGAATATAGGGCACTATATTATTTTAGTCATGAGTCAGGGTTGTATAGGATGGGAGTCAAGAAAAGATTCTTTTTTTTTTTTTGAGATGGAGTTTTGCTCTTGTTGCCCAAGCTAGAGTGCAATGGCGCGATCTCGGCTCACTGCAACCTCCACCTCCCAGGTTCAAGCGATTCTCCTGCCTCAGCCTCCCGAGTAGCTGGGATTATAGGCGTGCACCACCATGCCTGGCTACTTTTTTGTATTTTTAGTAGAAAGGGGGTTTCACCATGTTAGCCAGGCTGGTCTCGAACTCCTGACCTCAGGTGATTCGCCCGCCTCAGCCTCCCAAAGTGCTGGGATTACAGGTGTGAGCCGCCGTGCGGGGCCAAGAAAGGATTCTTTAAAAAAGAAATGTAGAAACCAAGATCTGAAGGGCACGATAGTAAGGTGGCACAAAAGTGTATGCTTGGTGATTACAAAATAAATATTGATGATACGCACTCTGAATGAACGTAGGTGAGAGAAAAATATCAATTTGAACAGAGGCAAAAACTATACATGCACATACACATATGTTAGCCTGTAGCTCGGGGGAGGGTCTCAAAAATTGATTTTTGAAAATTCTTAGCATGAAAACCTAATGCTAACAATATACCTTCAATTGGAAACCTGTAATATGAGCTGTAATATAAAGTAAAATTTCATTTTATAGTAGATCATCTTTAGGTGATAGAAGTAGACTTCCCTCAAGTTATTACCCTTTTGGAACGTTGTGATGTCATCCACAGTTAACAATTTTGAAGCAAATGCTTACAAAATCCAAGAAGTTATTATGGTTTTAATTGTGTCCTCCAAAGTTCATGTTGAAGCCCTAACCTCTACTACCTCAGAATGTGATTGTATTTGTATACAGGGCCTTTAAAAACTAATGAATGCAAAATGAGGTCATATGGGATCTAAGTTGCCAGTTATTTTCTTTCAACATTCTAAATACGTCAATTTTTCTTTTCTGCCTTCTGCCATCTCTACTTAGCAGTCATCCTGTGGACTCGTCGTTTCTATAGTAATTTCCACTTATTTAATGCCTACTCTGAATGCTTTTAAGTTTTCCATCTTTTGTTCTCAAAGCAATTTTATTACGATTTGACCAGATATTTGTGTGTGTGTGTTTATCTTTCTCGGAGTTTACTAAATTTTTGAATCTGTGGGATACCTTTCATTGGTTTGGGTAAGTTGTTGGTCACTGTCTGTTTGACTATTCTGGATGATTTTTCTTTCCTTTCTAGAATTTCAAATACATGTGTGTGTGTGTTTGTGTATATATACACACACATACATACATATACACACACATACGCATATAAGCATATATATTTTATGTATATATATGTATATATGTTATTGCATGTTCCACTTGGCTATTAGGCTTTGTTCTGTTTCCTCCTCCACCCTATTACCTGTTCTCTCTGTGCTGTTTGAGTACTTTCTATTTACGTGTGTTCAAGTTCATTAATCCTGTGTTCTGCTATCTAATCTATTATTAAACTTATAACTGAGTTTCTAATTTCAAATATTATGTGTTTTATTTCCAGGATGTTCATTTGGTTCTTATCTTGAGATTCAAAATTTTGCTGAAATTCTCTTTTTCACTTACCTTGTAAATCATCTTTTGAATGTGCATATCAATTATAGTTATTTTAAACTGTTTTTCTGCTAACTCATTATCTGGATCATGTGTGCATCTGCATCTATTGTTTCTTTTTCTCTTGCTTATTTGCCATATTTTTCTGCCTCTTTGTATTTCCAGAATTTTTTGTTGTATGCTGATTATAACGTGTACCAAGAAAAAGAAGCTTCATATGATATTTTTGTGTTTTTATCTCACAAGGGAAGATTCCCCTTTTTCTCTGTTAGGAAGATAAAGTGAACTATTGATATCTTCAATCCAAAATTGAGCTGGTTGTTCAGCCACAGGTGAGTAGATCACCAAGCAGGCTCTTGGGGTTCCTTATTCTGGACCTTTCCTCTTGGATGGCATTTCTGGACCTGTCCTGAGCCAGAGGGAATCTCATTGCCTTGAAGGATGTGTCCTAGACCAGGCAACATTTACAGCAAACTGACTGAACACCCCTTGGGCCTTAAGGGACTATCAGCAATAGCTTGGCAGTACTTCCTGTGGGCCTGTGGTAGCTGTGGCCAAAGGGTGATGTTCTGCTGCTTGTAGAAAGGGGAAGGAAGAGTCCAAAAAACTGTCTCATTATTTGAGTGCCAGGCCACCCACAATAAAGTAGAACATCAGGCAAACTTATACAATGTTAAACTCATGGCCCTGGCTCCCAGATAGTGCCCCTGGTCCTACCCAAGGCCTGGGCCTTGGGTGAGACCGGGTGTTGTGCTGGCTTCAGGCCTGCCCCAGCACTGTCCCAGTGGTGGTGGCAACAGAGGTGCTTGTGCTATGCCACCCACAGCTCCAGATGACTCAGAGCAGAAAGACTCCATTTGTTTGGGAGAAAGTAAGGGAAGAGAACAAGAATCTCCGGCTGGTAATCTAGAGAATTCTCCCAGATCTTGTCCAAGACTATAAAGGCAGTGCCTCTAGTCTGCAAAAACCACAATATTACTAAGCTTGTTATGCCTCCTAATGCAGATACAGCTTAGATCATACCATCCATGTCCTTTCAACTACCTGGAAAACCTTCCCAAGAAGGACAGGTACAAAAAACCCAGACTATGAAGACAACAGTAAATACACAATTCTTCGATGACCAGACACAGATGAACATCCACAAGCATCAAGACCATCCGGGAAAAGATGACCTCAGCAAACAAAATAAATAAGGCACTAGAAACCAATCCTGGAGAAAGAGAAATATGTGACCTTTCAGGCAGAGAATACAAAATGGATATTTTGAGAAAACTCAGAAAAATTCAAGATAACACAGAGAAAGAATTCAAAATTCTAACAGATAAACTTAATAGATTGAAATTTTTTTAATCAAGCAGAAATTCTGGAGCTGAAAAAAATGCATTTGGCATACTGAACAATACATCATAGTCCTTTAAGAACAAAATAGATCAAGCAGAAGAATTAGTAACCTTAAAGACAGGCTATTGGAAAACACACAGTTAGAGAAGACAAAAGAAAAAATAAAAAACAATGAAGCAAGCCTATGGGATCTAGAAAATGGTCACAAAAGGGCGAATCTAAGAGTTATTGGCCTTAAAGAGGAGGTAGAGAAAGAGATGGGGTAAAAAGTTCATTCAAAGGGATAATATCATAGAATATCCTGGACCTAGGGAAAGGTATCAATATCCAAGTACAAGAAGGTTTTAGAACACCAAGCAGATTAAAAGCAACAAAAACTGCCTCCAGGGAGTTAAAAGTCAAACTCCCAAAGTCCACGGTTAAAGACAGGATCCTAAAAGAGGCAGAAGAAAAGAAACAAATAACATACAATGGATCTGCAATATGTCTGGCAGCAGACTTCTCAGTGAAAACCTTACAGGCCAGGAGAGAGTGGCATGACATCTTCAAGGTGCTGAAGGAAAGAAATGTTTATGCTAGAATCACATATCTGGTGAAAATATCCTTCAATCATGAAGGAAAAATAAAGAGTTTCCAAGACAAAGAAAAGCCAAAGTCTGGTGTTTCATCAGCACGACGCTTTTCCTGCAAGAAATGCTTAAGGGAGCACTTTCATCAGGAAAAAAAAGTGGATGTTAATTAGCAACAAGAAATCATCAGAAGGAACAAAACTTACTGGTAATTGTAAGTACACAGATAAACACAGAATATTGTCATTCTGTAACTGTGTTGTGTAAGCTATGCTTATCTTAAGTAGAAAACCTAAAAGGTGAACCATTCAAAAATAACTACAGGAACTTTTCAACCTGTAGGTAGTACAATAAGATATAAATAGAAACAACAAAATGTTAAAAAGCAGACGGACAAAATTAAAATGGATAGTTTGTATTAGTTTTCTTTTTCATTGTTTGTTTATGCAAACAGTGTTAAGTTTTTATCAGCTTAAAATAATGGGTTATAAGATAGTATTTGCAAGCCTCATGGTAATTTCAAATAAAAAAATGTATAGTGGATACACAAAAACAATAAGCAAGACATAAAATCATATCACCAGAGAAAATCAACTTTATGTAAAGGAAAACAAAACAGAAGGAGAACAAAATAGAAGAACAGAAAACCACAAGAAAACAAATAACAAAATGGCTGAAATAAGTCCTTACTTAATTAGTGAAAATGTTAAGTGTAAATGGCCTAATCTCTCTAGCAAATGACATAGAGTGGTGGAATGAAAACAAACAAACAACAAAAAAACAAGACCCAGTCATTTGTTGCGTAGAAGAAATGCACTGTACCTATAAAGACACACATACACGTATAATAAAGGGATGAAATAGATATTCCATGCCAAGTGAAAACAAAAAAGACCATAAGTAGCTATACTTTTATCAGATGAAATATATTTCAAGAAAAAAAAACTCTAAGAAAAAAGATGACTATATAACAATAAAGGGGTCAATTCAGCAGGAGATTATAACAATTATATGCATCCAACACTGGAACATTCAGCTATATAAAGCAAATATTATAAGAGTTAAAGAGAGAGACAGACTCCAATACAATAATACCTGAGACTTCAGCAACCCACTTTCAGTATTGGACAGATCTCCCCACTAGAAAATCAACAAAGAGACATTAGAATTAATCTGCACTATAGAGCAAATATACCTACAGAACATTTCATTCCAGTGGCTGCAGAATACAAATTGTTTTCCTCAGCACAAAGATAGTTCATATGTTAGCTTACTAAAAAAGCTTTAGAACATCAGAAAATTGTACTAATTTCAAGTATCTTCTCTGACCACCACAGAATAAAATTAGAAATCAATAACAAGAATAATTTTGGAAACTTTACAAACACATGTAAATTAAACAATATGCTCCTGAGTGACAGCAGGGTCAATAAAGAAATTACAAAGGAAACTGAAAAATTTCTTGAAACAAATGTTAACAGAAGAGCCACATACCCAAATCTATGGGACACAGCAAAAGCAGTACTAATAGGAAAGTTTATAGCTGTAAGTTCCTATACCAAAAATAGGAAAAACTTCAAATAAACAATCTAATGACACAGCTTAAAGAAGTAGAAAAGCAACAGCAAACCAAACCCAAAAATAATAGTAGAAAAAACACAAAGATCAGAGCATACATAAATGGAACTGAAATAAAGAAAAACGTTAAAAAAGATCAATGAAAGAAAGTTCTGTGAAAAGTTAAACAAAATTGACAAATCTTTAGCCATACTATCTAATAAAAAAAAGAGAAGACCAAAATAAATAAAATCAGAGTTGAAAAGGGAGATATTACAACCAATAGCACAGAACTTCAAAGGATCATTAGTTGCTACCATGAGCAATTATTTGCCAATAAATTGGAAAACTCAGAAAAAAAGTATACATTCCTAGACACATAAAACCTACCAAGATTGAACCATAAAGAGATCCAAAACCTGATCAGACAAATAACAAGGAGATTGAAGCCATAATAAAAAAATCTCCCAGTAGAGAAAAGCCTAGGACCCAATGGCTTCACTGCTAAATTCTACCAAACTTTTAAAAAAGAACTAATACTAATTCTACACAAACTATTCCAAAATTATTCCAAATTTATTCTAGAAGGCTAGTATCATCCTGATTGTAAAACCAAAGACACATTAAAGAAAGGAAACTATAGGCCAATATCACTGAATATTGATGCAAAAATCCTCAGCAAAATACAAGCAAATTGAATTAAACAATACTTTAAAAAGATCATTCAACATGCTAGGAATTTTATAGAAATAAAAAGAATGGTAAGAGAGTATCTTATAGAGTTTTACACTGGTGAAATGGAAGGCCTACATAAAGTAGACAAATTCCTAGAAATACAAACACTACCAATATTGAATCATAAAAAAAGAAAATTTGGATGTCTGTAATGGATAATGAAGATGAATCAGTAATCACAGACCAGTGAAGAAAAGTCCAAGACTGCATGGTTTTACTGATGAATTCTATGAAACATATAAAAAAGAACATCAGTCCTTTCCAAAATTTTCTAAAACTTGGAGATGATGGAACACTTCCTAAGCTCTTGTATAAAGCCAGCATTGCCATGATACAAAAGTTAGACAATCATTTTAAAAGAATACTACAGGCCATATTTCCTTTTTTTTTTTTTTTTTTTTTTTTTTTTTGAGATGGAGTCTCACTCTGTCGCCCAGGCTGGGCTGGAGTGCAATGGCGCGATCTCAGCTCACTGCAACCTCTGCCTCCCGGGTTCAAGCAATTCTCCTGCCTCAGCTTCCTGAGTAGCTGGGATTAGAGGCGCACGCCACCACGCCCAGCTTATTTTTGTATTTAGTAGAGGCGGAGTTTCACCATGTTGGTCAGGCTGGTCTCGAACTCCTGACCTCGTGATCTGCCCGCCTCAGCCTCCCAAAGTGCTGGGATTACAGGCGTGAGCCACCTTGCCCAGCCTACAGGCCATATTTCTTATGAATATTGATGTAAAAATCCTCAGCAAAATATCATCAAATTAATTCAACAGCATATTAAAAGGATTATACACCATAAACAAGTAGAATTATTTCCTGGAATGTTACAACAGTACAATATTTAAATAAGTTAATGTAATATGCCACATTAACATAATGAAGAAAAAAAACATGATCATATCAATTAGACACAGAAAAGACATTTGAGAAATTCAACAACCTTTCATGATACAAACATTCAACAAAATATGAACAGAAGAATATTACCTCAATATAATAAAGGCTATATATGAAAAACCCACAGCTAAAATTATTTTTTATTTATTTTTATTTCAATGGCTTTAGGGGTACAAGTAGTTTTTGGTTACATAGATGAATTGTATAGTGATGAAGTCTGAAACTTTTCTGCACCCATCACATGAGTAGTGTATATTGTTCTCCATAAGTAGTTTTATTTATCCCTCACTCCCCTCCCACCCTACCCACTTCTGAGTCTCCAATGTACATTATACCACTCTGTATGCCTTTGCATATCCATAGCTTAGCTCCCACTTATGAGTGAGAACAAGCAGTATTTGGCTTTTCATTCCTGAGTTATTAATATTTCATTTAGAATGGCCTCCAGTTCTATCCAAGTTGCTGCAAAAGACATTATTTGTTCTTTTTTATGACTGAGTAGTATTCAATGATGCATATATAATACTCTATGATTTTATCCACTAATTGGTTGATGGACACTTAGCTTTGTAATTGTGAATTGTGCTGTGATAAACATATGCATGCAGCTGTATTTTTTATATAATGACTGCTTTTCCTTTGGGTAGATACCCAGTATTGGTATTGCTGAATCACTTGGTAAATTCATTTTTAATTCATTATTAATATTTTCCATAGAGGCATTACTAATTTACATTCCCACCAGCAGTGTATACATATTCCCTTTCAAACACATCCATACCAACATCTATTGTTTTTTGACTTTTTAATGATGACAATTCTGGCTGGGATAAGGTGATATTCTCATTGTGATTTTAATTAGCATTTCCAAGATGATTAGTGATGTTGAACATTTTTCATCTGTTTGTTGGACATTTGTATATCTTCTTATAAGAAATATCAATTCATGTCATTTGTCCCTCTTTTAATGGGATTATTTGTTTTTTTCTCACTGATTTGAATTCCTTGTAGATTCTGGATATTAGTCCTTTGTCAGATGCATAGTTTACAAATGTTTTCGCCCAATCTGTTAGTTACCTGTCTAATGATTATTTCTTTTGCTGTGCCAAAGTTTTAATTAGTTCCCATTTATTTATTTTTGTTTTTGTTGCATTTGCTTTTGGGGTCTTAATTATAAATTATTTGCCTAGGCCAATGTCATAAGAGTTTTTCCTAGGCTTTCTTCTAGATTTCTTGTTTGTTTGTTTTCAGGTCTCAGATTTATGTCTTTAATCCATCTTGAGTTGGTTTTTTGTATGTGGAGAGAGATGGGAATCCAATTTCATTCATCTACACGTGGCTATTCAGTTTTCTCAACATATTTATTAAATAGGGTGTCCTTTCCCCAATTTATGTTTTCTATGTTTTGTCAAAGATCAGTTGGTTGTAGTATTTGGCTTTATTCCTGGGTTCTCTCTTGTGTTCCACTGCTCTATGCCATGGTACTTTTATGCCAGTACCATGCTGTTTTGGTTACTATAGCCTCATAGCATAATTTTAAGTCAGGTAACGTTATTCCTCCAGATTTGATCTTTTTGCTTAAGATTGCTTTGGCTTTTCAGGCTTTTGTGGTTTGATATAAATTTTGTGATTGCTTTTTTGATTTTGTAAAACGATGTTGGTATTTTGATGGAAATTGCATTGAATTTATGAGTGGCTTTTGGCAGTATGTTTATTTTTGCAATATTTATTCTTCTAATCCATGAGCATAGGATGCATTTCTCTTGGATTGCATCATATCTGATTTTTTTTTTCAGCAGTGTTTTGTAGTTATCCCTGTAGAGATCCTTTACTTCCTTGGTTAAGTATATTCCTAGGTATTATATTTTTTTGCAGCTATTGTGAAAGAGATCAACTTCTTGATTTAATTCCCAGCTTGACTGCTGTAGGTGTATATCCGTGCTACTGATTTGTGCACATTGATTTTGTAACCTGAGACTTTACTAAATTCATTTATAATATCTAGAAGTCTTTTGAAGTAGTCTTTAGGGATTTCTAATTATAGAATCATATCATCTGCCAACAGAGAAAATTTGACTTCATGTTTTGATTTGGAAGGCCTTTACTTCTTTTTTGCCTGATTCCTCTGTCTATGACTTCCAGTACTATGTTAAATAGAAGTGGGAAAGGAGGCATCCTTGTTTTGTTCCAGTTCTTAGGGTGAATGCTTTCAAACTTTTCCTGTTCAGTAGAATGTTGGCTGTGGGTTTGTCATATATGGTTTTTATTATTTTGAGGTATGTTCTTTCTATGCCTAGTTTGTTGAAAAATTTTATGATAAAAGGTTGCTGGATTTTATCTATTGCATTATCTGTGTCTATTGCAATGATTATATGGTTTTTGTTTTAAATTCCGTTTATGTGGTGAATCACATTTTTTATTTGCATATATTAAATCAGCCTGGCATCCCAAGAATAAAGACTGTAAGAAGAGCTAACACTATATTTATTGGTGAAAAAATAAAAAATAAACTTTTCTTTAAACATTAGGAAAATGTTAAGGATGACCACTTTCACCACTGTTATTCAACATAGTACTAGAAATAATAGCTAGAGCAAATATAAAAGAAAAAGACTAAGGGACATCCAAATTAACAAGAAAGACACAAAATTATCTCTGTTTTTACCCTACCGGATCTTGTATGTCAAAAACCCTAAAGATGCCATAAAAACCCTGCTAGAACTAATAAGCAAATTAATCAAAGCTGTAGGATTCAACATCAATGCATAAAATTTAATTGTATTTTTATACATTAGCAAAAAACAATTTGGAAGAGAAATGAAGAAAGCAATTTTATTTACTCTAGTATAAAACAGAATAAAATACATAAAATTAAACTTAACCAAGGTGGCAAAACCCATGTAAAATAAATACTACAAAATGTTGCTGAAAGACTTGAAGAAGATACAAACATGGGAAAGATATTGCATGTTCATGAATTGGAAGATTTAATTATTGTTAAAAATGTCAATACTTCTAAAGTAATCTACATATGCCGTACAGTCTCTATCAAAATCCCAAAAACTTTTTTTCTTTGCAGAAATAGGAAAGTCTATATAAAGTTTATAAGGAATCATGAGTGACCATGAGTAACCAAAACCACCTCAAAAATTAAAAACTAAATTGAAGGGTCTCACAACTCCTAATTTCTTTTTTTTTATTATTATACTTTAATTTCTGGGACACATGTGCAGTACGTCCAGGTTAGTTACATAGGTATACATGTTCCTTGATGGTTTGCTGGGCCCATCAACCCATCATCTATATTAAGTATTTCTCCTAATGCCATCCCTCCCCTAGGCCCCCACCCCCTGACAGGCCCTGGTGTCTGATGTTCCCCTCCCTGTGTCCACGTGTTCTCATTGTTCAACTCCCACTTATGAGTGAGAACATGCGGTGTTTGGTTTTCTGTTCCTGTGTTTGTCTGCTGAGAATGATGGTTTCCAGCTTCATCCATGTCCCTGCAAAGTACATGAACTCATCATTTTTTATAGCTGCATAGTATTCCATGGTATATATGTGCCATATTTTCTTTATCCAGTCTATTATTGATGGGCATTTCTGTTGGTTCCAAGTCTTTGCTATTGTAAACAGTGCTGCAATAAACATACGTGTGCATGTGTCTTTATAGTAGAAGAATTTATAGTCCTTTGGGTATATACTCAGTAATGAAATTGCTGGGTCAAATGGTATTTCTGGTTCTAGATCCTTGAGGGATCGCCACACTGTCTTCCACGATGGTTGAACTAATTCACACTCCCACTAACAGTGTAAAAGCGTTCCTACTTCTCCACATCCTCTTCAGCATCTGTTGTTTCCTGACTTTTTAATGATTGCCATTCTAACTGGCGTGAAATGGTATCACATTGTGGTTTTGATTTGTGTTTCTCTAAAGACCAGTGGTGATGGGTTTTTTTTCATATGTTTGTTGGCTGCAAAAATGTCTTCTTTTGAGAACTGTCTGTTCATATCCTTTGCCCACTTTTTGATTGGATTTTTTTTTCTTCTTGTAGATTTGTTTAAGTTCCTTGTAGCTTCTGGATATTAGCCCTTTGTCAGGTGGATAGATTGCAAAAATGTTCTCCCATTCTGTAGGTTGCCTGTTCACTCTGATGATAGTTTCTTTTGCTGTGCAGAAGCTCTTTAATTTAGTTAGATCCCATTTGTCAATTTTGGCTTTTGTTGCCATTGATTTCGGTGTTTTAGTCCTGAAGTCTTTGCCCATGACTATGTCTTGAATGGTATTACCGAGGTTTTCTTCTAGGGTTTTTATGGTTTTAGATCTTACGTTTAAGTCTTTCATCCATCTTGAGTGAATTTTTGTATAAGGTGTAAGGTAGGGGTCCAGTTTCAGTTTTCTGCATATGGCTAGCCAGTTTTCCAACACCACTTATTACATAGGGAATCATTTCCCCATTGCTTGTTTTTGTCAGATTTGTCAAAGATCAGATGGTTGTAGATATGTGGCATTATCTCTGAGGCCTCTGTTCTGTTCCATTGGTCTATATATCTGTTGTGGCACCAGTACCATGCTGTTTTGGTTACTGTAGCCTTGTAGTACAGTTTGAAGTCAGGTAGCATGATGCCTCCAGTTTTGTTCTTTTTGCTTAGGATTGTCTTGGCTATATGGGCTCTTTTTGGTTCCAAATGAAACTTAGTTTTTTTTTTTTTTAATTTTGTGAAGAAAGTCAGTTGTTGCTTGATGGGGATAGCATTGAATCTATAAATTACTTTGGGCAGTATGGCCATTTTCACTTATACTGATTCTTCTTATCCATGAGCATGGAATTTTTTTCATTTGTTTGTGTCCTCTCTTATTTCCTTGAGCAGTGGTTTGTAGTTCTCCTTGAAGACACATCCTTTGTAAGTTTTCACATCCCTTGTAAGTTTTATTCCTAAGTATTTTAGTCTCTCTGTAGCAATTGTGAATGGGAATTCACTCATGATTTGGCTCTCTGTTTGTCTGTTATTGGTGTATAGGAATGCTTGTGATTTTTGTACATTGATTTGTGTGATTTGTGTCCTGAGACTTTGCTGAAGTTGCTTATCAGCTTATGGAGATTTTGGGCTGAGACAATGGGGTTTTCTAAATGTATAATCATGTTACCTGCAAACAGAGACAATTTGACTTCCTCTCTTCCTATTTGAATACGCTTTGTTTCTTTCTCTTGCCTGATTGCCCTAGCCAGAACTTCCAATACTATGTTGAATAGGAGTGGTGAGAGAGGGCATCCTTGTCTTGTGCTAGTTTTCAAAGGGAAAGCTTCCAGCTTTGGCCCATTGAGTATGATATTGTCTGTGGGTTTGTCATAAATAGCTCTTATTATTTTGAGATATATTCCATCAATACCTAGTTTATTGAGAGTTTTTGGCATGAAGGGGTTTTGAATTTTATTGAAGGACTTTTCTGCATCTATTGAGATAATCAAGTGTTTTTTGTCATTGCTTCTGTTTGTGTGATGGATTACATGTATTTATTTGCATACGTTGAACCAGACTTGCATCCCAGGGATGAAGCCAACTTGATCATGGTGGATAAGCTTTTTGATGTTCTGCTGGATTTGGTTTGCCAGTATTTTATTGAGGATCTTTGCATCTACGTTCATCAGGGATGTTGGCCTGAAATTGTCTTTTTTTGTTGTATCTCTGCCAGATTTTAGTATCAGGATGATGCTGGCCTCATAAAATGAGTTAGGGAGGAGTCCCTCTTTTTCTATTGTTTGAAATAATTTCAGAAGGAATGGTACCAGCTCCTCTTTGTACCTCTGGTAGAATTTGGCTGTGAATTCATCTGGTCCTAGGCTTTTTTTTTTGGTTAGTAGGCTATTAATTACTGCCTCAATTTCAGAACTGTTTTGGTCTATTTAGGGATTCAACTTCTTCCTGGTTTAGACTTGGGATAGTGTATGTGTCCAGAATTTAGCCATTTCTTCTAGATATTCTAGTTTATTTGCATAGAAGTGTTTATAGTAGCCTCTGATGGTAGTTTTTATTTCTGTGGGATCAGTGGTAATATCCCCTTTATACATTTTATTGTGTCTATTTGATTCTTCTCTCTTTTCTTCTTTATTATTCTGGCTAGCAGTCTATCTATTTTGTTAATCTTTTCAAAAAACCAGCTCCTGGATTCATTGATTTTTTGAAGGGTTTTTTTTGTGTCTCTATCTCCTTCAGTTCTGCTCTGATCTTAGTTATTTCTTGTCTTCTGCTATCTTTTGAATTTGTTTGTCCTTGCTTCTCTAGTTCTTTTAATTGTGATGTTAGAGTGTCGATTTTAGATCTTTCCCGCTTTCTCCTGTGGGCATTTCATGCTATAAATTTCCCTCTATACACTGCTTTAGCTTTGCCCCAGAGATTCTGGTATGTTGTGTTTTAGTTCTCACTGGGTTCAAAAAACTTATTTAGTTCACCTTCCTTTTGTTATTTACCCAGTAGTCATTCAGGAGCAGGTTGTTCAGTTTCCATGTAGTTGTGCGGTTTTGAGTGAGTTTTTTAATCTTGAGTTCTAATTTGATTGCACTGTAGCCCGTGAGACTGATTGTTATGATTTCCATTATTTTGCATTTGCTGAGGAGTGTTTTTCTTCCAATTATGTGGTCAATTTTAGAATAAGTGCAATGTGGTGCTGAGAAGAATGTATCTTCTGTTGATTTAGGGTGGAGAGTTCTGTAGATGTCTATTATTAGTTCCACTTGGTCCAGAGCTGAGTTCAAGTCCTGAATATCCTTGTGAATTTTCTGTCTTGTTGATCTTTCTAATATTGACAGTGGGATGTTAAAGTCTCCCACTATTATTGTGTGGGAGTCCAAGTATCTTTGTAGGTCTCTAAGAACTTGCTTTATTAATGTGGGTGCTCCTGTATTGGGTGTGTGTGTGTGTGTATATATATATATATATATATATAATATATATTTAGGATAGTTAGCTCTTCTTGCTTCATTGATCCCTTTGCCATTATGTAATGCTCTTCTTTGTCTTTTTTGATCTTTATTGGTTTAAAGTCTGCTTTATCAGAGACTAGAATTGCAACCCCCTGCTTTTTTTTCTTTCCATTTGCTTGGTAAATATTCCTCCATCCCTTTATTTTAAGCTTATGTCTTTTTTTACACGTGAGATGGTCTTCTGAATAGAGCACATGGATGGGTCTTGACTCTTTATCCTACTTGCTAGTCTGTGTCTTTTAATTGGGGAATTTAGCCCATTTACATTTAATGTTTGTATTGTTATGTGTGACTTTGATCCTGCTATTATGATGCTAGCTTGCTATTTTGCCTGTTAGTTGATGCAGTTTCTTCAGAATGTCGATGGTCTCTAAAACATGGCATGTTTTTGCAGTGGTTGGTACCGGTTTTTCCCTTCTGTATTTAGTGCTTCCTTCAGGAGCTCTTGTAAGGCTGACCAGGTGGTGACAAAATCTCTCAGCATTTGCTTGTCTGTAGGGGATTTTATTTCTCTTTCAGTTATGAAGCTTAATTTGGCTGGATATGAAATTGTGGGTTGAAAATTCTTATTTTTAAAAAATGTTGAATATCGGCCCCCAATTCTCTTCTGGCTTGTAGGGTTTCTTCAGAGACATCCGCTGTTAGTCTGATGGACTTCCTTTTGTGGTAACCTGAACTTTCTGGCTGCCCTTAACTTTTTTTCCTTCATTTCAACCTGGGTGAATCTGATGATTATGTGTCTTAGGGTTGCTCTTCTCGAGGAGTATCTTTGTGGTGTTCTCTGTATTTCCTGAATTTGAATGTTGGCCTGTCTTGCTAGGTTGGGGAAATTCTTCTGGATAATATGCTGAAATGTGTTTTCCAACTTAGTTCCATTCTCCCTGTCACTTTCAGGTACACCAATCAAATGTAGGTTTGGTCTTTTCAGATAGTCCTGTGTTTCTTGGAGGCTTTGCTCATTCCTTTACATTCTTTTCTCTCTAATCTTGTCTTCATGTTTTATTTCCTTAAGCTGATCTTCAATCTCTGAATTCCTTTCTTCCACTTGATCAATTCAGCTGTTGATACTTGTGTATGCTTCATGAAGTTCTCGTGCTGTGTTTTTCAGCTCCATCAGGTCATCAGTTTTCTTCTCTAAACTAGTTTTTCTGGTTATCAATTCCTCTAACCTTTTTTTTTTCAAGGTTATTAGCTTCCCTGCATTGGGTTAGAACATGCTCCTTTAGCTCGGAGGCGTTTGTTATTACCTACCTTCTGAAGCCTACTTCTGTAAATTCATCAAACTCATTCTCCATCCAGCTTTTTTCCCTTGCTGGTGAGGAGTTGTGATCCTTTGGAGGAGAAGAGGTGTTCTGGTTTTTGGAATTTTCAGCCTTTTTCCACTGGTTATTCCTCATCTTCATGAATTTATCTACCTTTGTTCTTCGCTGTTGGTAACCTTCAGATGGGTTTTTTGTGTAGACGTCCTTTTTGTTGATGTTGATGCAATTCCTTTCTGTTTGTTATTTTTCCCTCTAACAGTCAGGCCCCTCTGCTGCAGGTCTGCTGGAGTTTTCTGGAGGTCCACTCCAGATCCTGTTTGCCTGGGTATCACCAATGGAGGCTGCAGAACAGCAAAGATTGCTGCCAGTTCCTTCTTCTGGAAGGGAAGCTTCATCCCAGAGGGGTACCTGCCAGATGCCAGCCAGAGCTCTGCTGTATGAGGTGTCTGTTGACCTCTGCTCAGAGGCTTCTGTCAGTCAGGAGGCACGGGGGTCAGGGACTCACTTGAGGAGACAGTCTGTCCCTTAGCAGAGCTTGAGCGCTGTGCTGGGAGATCTGCTGCTCTCTTCAGAGCTGGCAGGCAGGAACGTTTGTCTGCTGAATCTGCACCCACAGCTGCCCCTTCCCTCAGGTGCTTTGTCCCAGGGAAATGGGAGTTTTGTGTATAAGCCCCTGATTGGAGCTGCTGCCTTTCTTTCAGAGATGCCTTGTGCAGAGAGACACCACTACTAATTTCAAAACATACTACGAAATTACACCAAACAGGCTGGGTGTGGTGGCTGATGCCTGTAATCTCAACACTTTGGGAGGCCGAGGTGGTTGGATCACCTGAGGTCAGGAGTTCAAGACCAGCCTGATCAACATTGTGAAACCCTGTCTCTTCTAAAAATACAAACATTAGCTAGGTGTCATGGCGGGCACCTGTAATCCCAGTTACTCAGGTGGCTGAGGCAGTAGAATTGCTTGAAACTGGGAGGTGGAGGTTGCAGTGAGCAGAGATCACATCATTGCACTCCAGCCTGGGTGACAGAGCAAGACTGCGTCTCAAAACCAAAAAAAAAAAAAAAAAAAAAAAGAATACACCAAACGAAACAGCTTAGTAATGGCATAAAGAAAGACATATACACCAATTGAATAAAACTGAGAGCTTAGAAATACACTTCTGTGTATATGGAAATTGTTTTCAACAAGTCTATCAAAAATATTCAAGCATGAAAATACCATTTTTTCAATAATTAGTATTGGGAAACCTACATATCCAAAAAAAGTGAAGTTAAATTATTATTTTTTGCTAAGTACAAAAATTAATTCAAAAAGAATCAAAGTCCTAACATAGAAGCCAACATTCTAAAATATTTGAAATAATCATAGGGTAAAAGCTTCATGATATTGGATTTGGCAACATTTTTTGACATAACACAGAAACAAAGGCAACAATAAAAGAATAGATAAGTTGGAATTCTTCAAAATTAAAAACTTCTGTGCAATAAAAATATGATGAAATTTGCAAATCATATATCTGATAATGTATTAACATCCAGACTATATAAAAATTACCCACTCAATGAAAACATAACAACTAAATTAAAAAACTGTGCAAAGAACTTACATAGATATTTCTCTAAAGATAATATACAAATAGCCAATAAGCACACGAAAAGATGCTCAACATCATTAACCATTAGAGAAATGTAAATCAAACCCACAATTCTATGCCACTTCACACCTAATAAGATGGCTTATTATTTTTTTAAAAAAGAGAAAATAACAGATTTGGAGAAGATGTGGAGAGACTGGAACCTTTGTGCATTACTTATGTCAATGTACTTGAGGTGAGGAGAGGGAGGATTTTGTCATGCATCTTGGATACTAGCTCAGCCACAGCAAGAAAGGGCACTGATCAGAGTTGTGAGGCCCCATTCCAGGTACAAGCACCCAGGAGACATTTGTAGACACATCCCGGGTCAGAAAAGAAGCTGCTGTCTTGAAAGAAAGAACCCAGTCTTGCCAGCATTCATCACCTTCTAATTGAAGAGCCCTTGATGCATGAATAATTATTAGTGCGACCCGGGTACTACTTTGAGGACCTCAGTGAGCCTCTGAAACATGCTGGCTTCAGGTACCAACACTGCCACAGGGAGGTAGAATACCAAGTATGCTCTGAAGTTTCCCAATTACAGAACTTGACTCTTGGGGCACATTTCTGGACCTATACTGGGCCAAAGGGGAGCCTACTGACCTGAAACGTGAGTCCCAGGCCAGGTGGCACTTACCACAATCTAACTTAAGAGTCTTTGGGGCTTAAGGGAACATTGGTGATAGTCTGGCAGTACTTCTCATGGCCCAAGGTGGTGGTGGCAACAAGGCAAGGCTCCTCTGCCTCTGGTAAGAGAAAGAAAGAGTGGGTAGGACTGCATCTTGTGGTTTGAATGCCATCTCAGCTGAAATACAATAGAATACCAGGTAGACTTCTAAGGTTTTTTAATCTAGTCCCTGAGTCCCAGATGGCACTTCTGGATGCACCCAAGCCCTGGGGAACCTCGCTGCCCTGAAACAACTGACACAGGCATGACTGGCTTTACCATCTGATGATTGTAGAGCCCCAGGGCCTTGAGAAAATATAGGCAGTAGCCAGGGAGCATTTACAGCAAGCCTTGGGTGAGACCCAGTGCTGTGCTGGCTTCAGGTCTGACCCAGCACAGTCATAGTGGTGGCACAAACAGGAGTGTTTGTGTCACTCCACCCCCAGGTTAGGTGGCTCAGAACAGAAAATAAGACTGTATATATTTCAGAGAAAGGAAGGGTAAAGGACAAGAGTCTCTGCCTGGCAATCAAGAGAAGTCTCCAGATCTTGTCCAAGTCCATCAAGGTGGTACCTCTGCAAGTCTACAAAAAACACAGCATTACTGGGCCTGGGTTGCCTTCTAAAGTAGAAACAACTTATATCAACACTTAAATCCTGGAAAGCCTTTCCAAGAAAGGTGGCTACCAGTAAGTCCAGACTGTGAAGACCATAATAGATACCCAACTTTTCAATGCCCAGAAACTAAATACCATCTACTAGAATCAAAACCATGCATGAAAATGTGATCTTGCCAAATGAACTAAAGCCACCAGGAAGCAATACCGAAGAAAGCAAGATATGCAAACTTTCAGACAGAGAATTCAAAATAGCTGTGTTGAGGAGACTCAAAGAAATTCAAGATAACACACAGAAGAAATTCAGAATTCTAACAGATTAATTTAAATCGTTAAAAAGAATCAAGCAGAAATTCTGGGGGTAATAAATCTAACTGGCATACTGAAGAATGCATCAAAGTCCCTTAATAGCAGAATGATTCAAGCAGAAGAAAAAATTAGTGAGCTTGAAGACAGGTTATTTGAAAATACAGAAATGAGACAAAACAAAAAAAAAGACTAAAAAACAATGAAGCACACCTATATGATGTAGAAAATAGCCTCAAAAGGGAAAATCTAAGAGGTATTGGCCTTAAAGAGAAGGTAGAGAAGGAGACAGAGGTAGAAATTTATTCAAAGGGATAATAACAGAGAACTTCTCCAACAGAGAGGAAAATATCAATATCATAGTATAAGAAGGTTATAGAACGCAAGGAAGATTTAACCCAAAGAAGACAACCTCAAAGCATTTGATATTCAAACTTTCAAAGCACAAGAAGAAAGAAAAGATTTTAAAAGCAGCAAGGGAGGAGAAACAAATAACATACAATGGAGCTCCTATACATCTGGCAGCAGACCTTTCAATGGAAACCCTACTGGCCTGAAGGGAGTGACATAACATATTTAAAGTGGTGAGGAAAAAGGTACATTAAAATAGTATATTTGGTGAAAATATCTTTCAAACATGAAGGAGAAATAAGAACTTTTCCAGAAAAACAAAAGCAAAGGTATTTCATCAATACCACACCTGACTTACAAGAAATGCTAAAGGGAATACTTCAATCAGAAAGAAAAGGACATTAATGAGCAATAAATAGTCACCTGAAGGTAAAAGACTCACTGGTAATGGTAAGTACACAGAAAACCAGAGAATATTATGACGCTGTAATGTGGTGTGTGAACTATTTTCCAAAATAGACAGACTAAATGATGAACAAATCAAAAATAATAACTACAGCTCTTCAAGACATAGTACAATAAGATATAAATAGAAACAACAAAAAGGTGAAAGGCAAGGGGACTAATTTGAGGTAAGTTTTTATTGTTTTCTTTTTGATTGTTTGTTTATGTAAAAGGTGTTAATTTGCTATCAGGTTAAAATAATGGATTATAAAAAAGTATTTGCAAGCCTCATAGTTACCTTAAACCAAAAAGCATACAATGAATACACAAAAAGTAAAAAGCAAGAAACTAAATCATATTACCAGAGAAGACTATTTTCACTAGAGGAAGACAGGAATAAAAAAAATGAAGAGAAGACAACAAACAACTGGAAAACAAATTTTTAAAAATGGCAGGAATAAGTCCTTTCTTATCAATAATAACGTTGAATGTAAATAGACTAAACTCTCCAATCAAAAGATATAGACTGGCTGAAAAGAAGAAAAAACAAAACCATTGATCTGTTGCCTACAAGACATACAGTTCACATACAAAGACACACATGGACTGAAAAAAAATTTTTTTAAATTCCATTCCAAGGAAAACAAAGAAGAGCAGAAGTTATTATAATTATATAAGACAAAATATATTTCAAGAGAAAAACTGTAAGAAAAGACCTAGAAGGTTACTACACAATAACAACAGAGTAAACTCAGCAAGAGAATATAACAATCTTAAATATGCACCCAACACTGGAGCACGCAGATATATAAAGAAAATATTATTAGAGGTAAACATAGAGATAAGCCCCTAATAAAATAGTAGCTGGAGGCTTCAACACCCCACTTTAAACGTTGGACTGATCTTCCACAGATAAAATCAACAAATAAACATGAAACTTAATCTGCACCATAGACCAAATGGATCTAATAGTTATTTATAGAACATTTCATCCAAAACCTGCAGAATACACATTCTTTTCCTCAGCCCACGAATTTTTCTCAATGATAGATCATATGTTAGGTCATAAACAAGTTTTAAAACATTCAATAAAATTAAAATGACCTCAAGTATCTTCTCTAACCACAATAGAAATAAAACTAGAAATCAATAAAAAGAGGAATTTTGGAAACTATACAAATAAATGATAGTTAAACAATATGCTTCTTAATGACCAGTTAATGAAGAAATTGAGAAGAAAATTGAAAAAAATTCTTGAAACAAATGATAATGAAAATACAACATATCAAAACTTATGGGATACAGCAAAAGAAGTACCAATAGGAAAGTTTATAGCTATACGTGACCACATCAAAAAAGAGAAAAAAAACTTCAAATAAACAATCTAATGATGCGTCTTAAAGAAGTAGAAAGGCAAGAGAAAACTGAACCCAAAACTTAGAAGAAAATAAATAATAAAAATCAGAGAATAAATGAAATTGAAATAAAAAATAAAAGATCAATGAAACAAAAAGTTGGTTTCGTGAAAAGTTATACAAAATTGACCAACTTTTAGCCAGACTAAATAAGAAAAAGAGAAGATCTGAATAAATCAAGAAAATCAGAAATTAAAGAGGAGACATTACAACTGATGCTGCAGAAATTCAAAGGATCATTAGAGGCTACTGTGAGCAACTATATGCCAATAATTTGGAAAATCCAGAAGAAGTGGACAAATTTCTATATACATATAACCTACCAGTATTGAAACACAAAGAAATCTAAAACTTGTATAGTCCAATAAAAATTAAAAAGATCAAAGCCTTAATAAAAAGTCTTCCAGTAAAGAAAAGCAGAGGGCCTGAAGTTCACTGCTGAATTCTATCAAATATTTAAAGAACTAATACCAATCCTACTCAAAATATTCTGAAAAATAGAGGAGAAGACAATGCTTCCAAACTCATTCTATAAGGCCAGAATTACCCAGATACCAAAAGCAGACAAAAACACATCAAAAAAAGAAACCTACAGGCCAATATCTCTGATAAATATTGATGCAAAAATGTTCAAAGAAAGACTAGCAAACCAAATTCAACAATACATCAGAAAGATCATTCATCATAACAAAGTGGGATTTATCCCTGGGATGCAAGGTGGTTGAATATACACTCCATTGCTTTTTATTCTTTGTGTGTGTGTGTCCTCTAACTGTGTATTTCCAAATAGCCTGCCTTCATGTTCACTAATTTTTTATTCGGCTTAATCCATTCTGCTCTTAAAGGGCTCCAATACCTTTTTCAGCAGGCCAATTGTATTTTTCAGCTCCAGAATTTCTACTTGATATATTTTAAGTATATCAAGCTCTTTGTTAAATTTGTCTGATAGAATCGTGAATTCCTTCTCTGTGTTATCTTAAATTTCTCTTTCAACAACGTGACTATTTTGAACCTTCTGTCTGAAAAGTCACATATCTCTGTTTCTCTAGGAGGATTGGTCCCTGATGGCTTATTTAGTTTATTTGGTGAGATCATGTTTTCCTGAATGGTGTTGATGCTAGTAGATGTTTGTCAGTGTTTGGACATTGAAGGGCTAGGTATCTGTTGTTGTCTTCACAGTCTGGGCCTATTCGTAGCCATCCTTCTTGGGAAGGCTTTCAAAATATTTCAAAAAACTTGGGTGTTGTGATCTACTCTTTATCTGCTTTAGGTTGAAACCCAAGACCACTAACTCTGTGGATCTTGCAGACTCATAGCCTTGGTTGTCTTGAACAAGATTTGGGAGATCTCTAGATTACCATGCAGAGACTCCTGTTCTCTTCCCTTATTTTCTTCCAAACATTCTCTCTCTCTCTCTTTCTCTCTCTCTCTCTGTTCTAAGCCAGCTAAAGCTGGGGATGTAGTGATGCAAGCACCCCTGTGGCCATCACCACTATGACTGCACTGGGTTAGACCTGAAGCCAGCATAGTCCTTCGTCTCACCCAAGGCCTGCTGAAACTACTCTCTGGCTACTGCCTATGTTCATTCAAGGCCCTGGCGCTCTACAATTATCAGGTGGCAAAGCCAGCCAGGCTTGTGTTCTTCCCTTCAAGGCAGTGAGGTCCCCCAAGCCCTGGGTAGGTCCTGAAGTATCATCTGTGAGTCAGGGTCTACCGTCATTGACTTTAGAAGTCTACTTGGTATTCTACTCTATTGCATTTGAGCTGGTACACAAGCCGCAAGACACATTTTTCTCTCTGTCTTCCCTCTCCTTTATAAAGAAAGAGGAGCCTCACCCTGTAGCCACCACTACCTCAGGCTATGAAGAGTACTGCCAGAGTACCACTATGTTGCCTTTGTCTCAAGGTCTCTGAATTCAGCTTGTTGTGAATGCTTCCAGGACTAGGACTCACCCTTTGGGGCAATGGGCTCCCTTCTGGCCCAGGGTAGGTTCAGAAATGCCATACAAAAGTCAAGTGCTGGAATTGGGGACCCCAAAAGCCTGTTTGGTGCTCTACCCTCCTGTTGGCATCCTGGTACCTGAAACCAGGAAGTCTCAAGAGGCTCATCCAAAGCCCTTAATGTACCTGGGTGTTGTGGCTGTTTATTCAGGTCCCACGTTAGCAGGTGATAAATGCTGACAGGACTGGCTTAATTTTTTCGGAGAAACTGTTTCCCTTCTGAACCAGGGTATATCTAAAAATGTCATCTAGGAACCAGGGCCTGGAACAAGGGCTTTAGGACTCTGACCAGTGCCCTATTCTGCTATGGCTGAGCTGGTATCCTACATGTAAGACAAAGTCCTCTTCACTCTTATCCCTCCTCTCCTTAAGCAGAAGGAAGGGTTCTCTTTTGGAGCCATGAGCTCTGCAGCCTGGGCTTAGGGGAGGGGTGATGCCAGCACTTCTTTTGATGCCCCAGCTGGTGCATCAGTGTGTCATGTGCCCCACCCCCCAGTCCACTGTCTCTGGGCCTAATTCAGCCCTAGGACTCACCTAAGAGTTGTAGTCCTTATGGCCTAGACTGCTTTTCCAGTTTACTTGGAGACACAGAGTGCTGTAGCCATGGATGGCAATGTTTACAGGCACTCACGTTTGTACCACTGAAATTGGTGATTCCCCTCTGGCTACAGCTGGTTTAAATGCTCCCTCTGTGGGCCAGCATCAGCTGAGTTTGGTCCTGGTTTCCTTTCTGTTCTAACAGAACAGCACTGACTGAGTTCAATGCCTCATAATTGCTGTGTTCTCCCTCCCCCAGCACCCAGAGAATCTCTCTGCACCACGTATTCCAGCTGGAGGTGGCGTCAGCAATTCTGGACTGCTTTTTCTATCTTTTCAGTGCCTCATTCAGTGATGTCAAGTTAAAACCAGAAACGATGGGTGTTCACCAGATTTTTGGTTCTTATGAAGGTAAACATCTTCTATGTACATAGTTGTTAACTTGGTGTCCTTGTAGGGAGGACGATTGGTGGAGCTTTCTATTCCACCAACTTGCTTCAGCCTCCCTCTCTTTGTCATGTACCTTTATAATACTCATTTTGTTCATGGTGTCTCTTAACTCACTTGTTACAGATCATGTCCTCTGAACTTTTGAATTGTTTAATACTAAGTGTATCTTCGGCAAGAAACATACATTTTTGGGTGTGTTGTAGTCCCGTGTGCTCTAGTGTGTAAATGTTGTTGCTGGTTGTGTTTTCTGTGAAGCAGAATCTAAAACTATTCAGCCATAAATAATAATAATAATAATAAAAATCATGTCTTTTGCAGGGACATGGATGGAGCTGGAAACACTTATGCTCAGCAAACTAATGCAGGAACAGAAAACCAAGAACCACATATTCTCACTTATAAGTGGGAGCTAAACAATGAGAAAACATGGACACATGTGGGGGAACAAAACATACCGGGGCCTGTTGCAGAAGCAGGCAGGGTGAGGGAGAGCATCGGGAAGAACAGCTAATGGATGCTGGGCTTAATACCTAGGTGATGGGTTGATCTGTGCAGCACATCACCGTGGCACATGTTTACCTATGTCACAAACCTGCACATCCTGCACCTGTACCCCTGAACTTAAAAGTTGAAGAAGAAAAAATAAATTTGCATATAGTAATTTTTAGGATACACTGTTAGGGTCAATACATTTCATACGGTTTTAACGTATGGCTCATCTTACCCTACAAGGAATATTGGAAAATTGTCTGGGGGCAAAAGAGCCTGACCTTTGTGCTGTCATGTTGACAAGTCTTGTGAGGAAAGCGGCCCTGGAAAGGCACGTGCCTCTGTGCAAATTACTTTCCAGCAGAGGTAATTCCCATAGAGGCTAATAGTTAAAGGCTTTGTGCCAAGCCTCACTCCACACAGCTAGAGGAAAGAAGTGCCTCATTTATTTAGGAAAATCTGGGTGAATCATCAAGGCATTCACCACAGTTTTCACATTTGCTTATGGTTGTTTTGCCCTCAGTGTTTTCATGTTCATGTATTGGCCTCAGGATTCCTGCACCAGATGAATGATATAAAATTGAATCCATATGCCCATTTGGTGCATACCTTGAACATTGCTTTAACTTTTACACAGAATATGTTTTTGTTTGTTTGCTTGTTTCTAGAAGTTCCAGGAAAAGAAACAAATTTCATGTAGCTTCTTTACACCAAGGAGAAAAATCTTTCCCATTTTTTTCAATTGAAGGGTCAGCTTGTTCAGGGTCCCAGATTTGTGCTATTTCAAAGATAAATCCCTGATTTACCTTGATGAAAGCCAGATATCTTATCTCCACATAGGTATTAGCCCCTATCACCTAAGTCTATACCATATTCAGTAGAATTTCCCTTGATCGCTTAGAGATTTTTTTTTCTGTCATCTGAGGATTTGCCTTTCTTTCCAGCAGATATATTTTTAAGCATTTTGATCACATAGAAGAAACATTTGTAAATATTTTAGCATGCAGTGTTGTCCACATTGACTCTGTCCACAGTTTTTTGAAACAAAATTCTCCAAAATGTTTCCAATTCTCTATAGCATGGTAAAATGTTACATTAACTTTTCTTCCTTCTTTTTGTCAATAAAGCCATGCTGACAATTTAACTATGTGCCTGGAGCTAGAATATAAAATTTATAACATCAGGTCTTTATCTTAGGTTTTTAATCAATTTTGGATCCTTTTGTAGAGAAGCTCGATATTCTCAACTAAATATCGTAATAGTATATTTGAATCTAATCGTGTAAACTATTGTGGTCATGCTTATAAAGTTTCTTGACTTGACCTAATAAAAAGACTGATTATATGCACTAAAGTACAAATAGTTATTTTATCCATGTTAGATCATTACCTCATAAATTGAACATAATTATTAGTAATAAAATATCTTTAACTTATAAATACACATATGTATATGTAGATTCTCTCTATATTCTCTCTATATGTAGACTCTCCAGTACACAGTCAAAATGAAAGAACAATTGAAACCCAAAACATGTATCATCTCTCTGAAGCAGTTAAAGATGTGTTCTGGCAATTTGAGGTCTAAGCAAACAATAATGATGAGGCTGGTAATGGGAAAATTAGTAACGGGGCTTTTAAATAATTTTTGAAGTTTCTATGCCCTTGAGTTATTTTAATAATGATGATGATGATATTTTAGAGATGCTGTCTTATTCTGCTACTCAAGCTGGCCTTGCATTCCGGGGCTCTAGCTATCTTCCAGCCTCAGCCCCCTGAGTAGCTGGGACTATAGGTGCATGTCACTGTGCCCTGACCCTGAGCCATTTTACTTGTATTGATACTTGAGAGCTGATTCACATGAGATTATGTGTTTTAACCATGGGTGACATAAATAGATAAGAGATACTAAACATCACAGTTTAAGTTGATTATATATTAGTATTAAAATTATATATATATAATTCATTTTAATGGATTATATTTTAAATAGCGATTTGTTAACAGCAATTTACCAATATATTTTTATTAAAATATAATGCTACTTTTAAAATATAATTGTATATTCCTTACCTATTTTATATTTGAAAAAAATACTTTCTATTGTATGAATACCTAGGCATTATTTATTTATGGAGAAGAGATCTAGAAAACGTTTTTAATCACCTTTTTGTTTTTCTTCAGTCTTCTTCTGATTTTCTTCTTCATTAGAAATTTTCTGCTCGCAGAAGAAATGTTTATACAAGCAACTAAAAACAATGTTTGTCACTATGGTTCATATTCTTTTTTTTTGGAGACGGAGTCTTGCTCTGTCGCCCAGGCTGGAGTGCAGTGGCGCGATCTCGACTCACTGCAAGCTCCGCCTCCTGGATTCACACCATTCTCCTGCCTCAGCCTCCCAAGTAGCTGGGACTACAGGCACCTGCCACCACACCCAGCTAATTTTTTGTATGTTTAGTAGAGACGGGGTTTCACTGTGTTAGCAGAATGGTCTCGATCTCCTGACCTCGTGATGTTTCTCAGTAGCAAGGATATAAAACATACTACCAAAAATGTTAAAACAACACCAAAGTTAGTGCATATGAATCAATGTGAAGATGCTATATACATAAGATTCAGAATTTGATGGGAAGTATATGAGAAGCTGGGGGAAATAAGCTCCTTTGTATGTTGTTACTCTATCACTTTCAAGGTATATGTAGGTCCAAAGTATCCTTTTTAAAGTAATAAAATGAAGATTCATCTTTAAAAGGAAATACATCTTTCCTAAGAGCACAAATATTTATATGGCTAAAAAAGATCTTATTCAGTATTCTGGAAATGGCTACTGATGAAGACCAAATGGATAATGCTTGTAGTGGATGGCATTCTATAGACATCTTTAAATTCATTGTCCAAAACTAAATTGCCTTTCTTTTCCTAGAAGCCTCCTCTTCCTGTATTCCACATGTCATGTAAATGAAATAATGATACTTTTTGTAACAAATTAAAATATTGTTTCTCCCTTCCTTCTTTTATCCTTATATCCAATGTTCCACCAATTCCTATTGGTTCTATGTCTCTAGTTAATTTCTCAAACCTATAGCTTTCTCTTTATCCCTGTCATCTTCACTTTAGGCCTAATCCCACCATTTTCTTCTACTTCTTACCAGGGCCACTGGGATATTTTCCCAAGTTACTTCCTTTCTAGATTATGAGGGCTTTTTTTCCTTTTGATTTCTGTTTTGGTTATCTTGCATTTAAATGCATTATACTATATGTAATAAGAATCTTTTTAAAAAATATCTTTACTGAGATATAATTCACATACCAAAAGCTCACACTTTAAAGTTACAATTCAGTCATTTCAGCATATTTATGGATTTATGTAATAATTACCTTTATCTAATCTACAATATTTTCATCACCATGGAAAGAAAACCCATACCCATACCCATTAGCAGTCATTTTCCATTTTCCCCTCATCCCAGCCCTTGGCAACCATGAATGTACTTTTTGTCTTATAGATTTGCCTATTCTGGATATTTCTTACATATGAAACCTACAGTATGTGGGCATTTCTGACTGGTTTCTTTCACTTATTATAATGTTTTCACGGTTTATTCACGCTGTAGCATGTATCAGTAATTTATTTCATTTTTGTGGCTGAGCAATATGGTATTCTATGGCTTTACCACATTTTGTTTGTCCATTCATTCATCAGTAGATATTTGAGTGGTTTCTCCTTTTTATTATTATGAGTAATACTGGTATAAGCATTCATGTAAAACTTTTTGTGTGGACAGAATATTTTCATTTTCATTTCTTGGTCATAACATAACTCTATGTTAAATTTTTTGAGGAACTTACAGAATTTTTTCTGGACTGGCTGCACAACTTTACGTTTTCACCATCAGCGCATGAGGGTTTTACTTTCTGCCATCCTTGTCAACACTTGTTACCATCTATCCTTTTCATTCTAGCCATCATAGTGGAGGTAAATTGGTATATATTTATGGTTTCGATTTGCAGTTCCCAAATGACATTAGCATTCCTTAAATGCCTGTCAGAAGAATGAGTAAATGAAAAAATATTGTTTGATACTATTTAATATACCATTTTAAGTTGAAACACTATAACCAAGTTTCTATCAACTTTTAAAAAACTCCTTAGATAATATTAATTTTATGATTAGTATCTATATTATTTCTTTCCTAATTGTATTTTCTAATGTCATTTGCTCAATAATGGTGTTCTGAGAGGTACACAAAGAAGTAACTCTTAAAGGCATAGTTGTACTACCTACAATTTGAAACAGGTATAAGTTTATGTGGTAATTCTCTCTGTGCACATTTTCCCCAGTCATCATTGCCATTAACTTCAAAATGCTGTAGGTTAGAGACTGACAGTAAAATAGAGAAGTTAAACTCTGAGTATTTTCTTTTTTGTTTGTTTTCTTTAGTCTCTGCTCTATCATAAGTTGGTATTTTTTAAACTCATAAAAAACAAAAACTCAAACCCAAGACAGAACAGTTAACAAATTAGTCTCTCACACATTGAAATCTGCAAGACATTTAGAAAACAATGTGACATCAGTGTGATGCTATAAATTATAATAAAAGCTATCAGTAATATGTGTGTCATAGAAACAGCTTCAAAACCTAGAATTTATATTGTATTCCATATGGCTATTTTTAGGAAATAAGCCTGACATCCTTGCATTTTAAAAAATCCTGTTTACCATCTGAATCTTCAAAGTTAGAAACTGTGTTACTCTGACAGTAATATTAGTAAAAATTAAGTAGAGAAATCCAGGTTTCAGATGATCTGGTTGTTAACAAATACCAAATTTGGTTATTTTACTTGCTGTTTTCCGTTTTTTAAAGAAACAGTTGGAGACAAGCAATAATATCAAACAAGACGAGGGCCCATAGTATTATGTAAAAATCTCATTAAAAAATTATAATATTCTGAATTTTTGTACTCTAAGAATTAAAACCTTAAAGCTAGGCATTCTTGAAATCTTGATGAATTTTATACTCTAGGGAAACAATTAGTTAACTATCAGAATTAAAAAAAAAAAACTCATATAACAGTATGTTATGCTATTCTGCCTAAAACTATTCTAGAGCTGAATAAGACCTAAGATTTTAATTTTTAATTAGGTAGAAAACTGTTTATTACCTGTTTAGCAACAGTCTCAGAAATTTAAAAACAGTGAAAATAACTCATGTTTATTCGTGCCAATGAATTTTAGCTAAAGTATAATTTAGTAAGTTGTTTTCAAATCTAGCGACTTAAGTAAAACTGATGGACATAAAATTATACTAATAAATGTTATGAGACAACCAATCATTATTTTCATTTGAGAGCAGAATACTAGAATTTACTGGAATTTGACTATTTATACAAGATGGTTTACCTTAGATTCTTGGAAGATCATCAGCACCGGCAATGTTCATGTACATAAACTTCATCACTTACTCATTTGTGTGGAAGCCATAGAATCTGTTTGGCTTAACACTTCTGTGGGTGAGCAAGTAAAAAAGTAGAATAAAAACATTGTTTAAAACTTGGGATGTTTGCCTAGATACTTGGCCAAGTTTTTCCTACCTACCAGCAAAATAATATAGACAGGAAAAAGTAATATTCCATTAAATTGTTGTAACCACCCTTTTTACATATAATTTACAGCCTCACTAGAAAATCTTTATTGAATATCTACCTGTATTAGTCAAGGTTCTCTAGAGGCACAGAACTAAGAAGATATATTTATATATGAAAGGGAGTTTATTAAAGAGAATTGACTCACAGTCACGAGGTAAAGTCTCACAATAGGCTGTCTGCAAGTTGAGGAGCAAGGAAGCCAGTGGTGGATCAGTCTGAGTCCCAAAACCTCAAAAGTAGGGAAGCTGATAGTGCCGCCTTCAGTCTGTGGCCAAAGGCCCTGGAGCCCCTGGAAAATACTGGTTAAGTCCAAAAGTCTAAAAACTGAAGAACCTGGAGTCTGATGTTCTAGGGCAGGAAGCATCCAGCATGGGGAAAAGATGAATGCCAGAAGACTCAGCAAATCGGCTCCTTCCAATTTCTTCTGCCTGCTTAATTCTAGCCATGCTGGCAGCTGATCACACGGTGCACACCCAGATTGAGGGTGGGTCTGCCTCTCCCAGTCCACTTACTCAAATGTTAATCTCTTTTGGCAGCACCCTCACAGACACACCCAGGAACAATCCTTTGCATCCTTCAATTCAATCAAGTTGACACTCAATATTAACCATCCATCACACTACCCTTTCTTCAAAGTACTGTTTGTGGATATTTGCATAATTAATATTACTAAATATTAAACTTGGTAATTTCTAAACCATGAATACTTATTATTGTCAAGTTAATTAATTGGGGTCAGATTTCTAATAGTAACTTCAATAAAAGGCAACGTGCAGCTGCAGGGCAGTGGAAAGAGCACTCGAGAAGCAGTTAGGCCTAGAATTGACTCCTAGCTCTGCTAGTAAATGTACATCTTGGAAAAACTTTGTTTAATATAGACCTTGTTTTCTTCACCTCTAAGGTAAGAGAACCATATCCTTTCATATCCTTTTCAATTTCTATATTATGGAGTCTATGAAAGGAGTGTACTCAGAAGTCTCACGAGTGTTCAATTGCACACTTGTCTTTACAAGGACGTTTACCTTTAATAAAAACTTCACAATATGCTAATTTATAGAAAGGCAAGAGATGTTACTTAAACTATAAAATTCTTTCACAATATAAATGGAAATAAGACTATAATAAATATATTTATTAATGTTTATTAATATATATTTTCTCTTTTCCAGTGACTTAATTTGCTTTGTTGTTGGACACATCTGGTGGTCTATCTGCCACTATCTTCCATGCTCAATCTTCACAAGGAAAGTATCCTTAGCTTCACAGTGGTTTGGTCATCATATTTCCTGGCTCTCAGTGTTTTAGATACATGATAAGATTGCACATTTAGGTCCAACGCGGTTGTGTGAAGTCACATGACTAATTGTGGTCAATTAATTGTGAGCAGATGTAACTTACAAATTGAGTATTTAATTGCCAATAATCCAGCACTCTCTTTTCCAACTGGTACATGACAGACAATGCGTAAGACAGAGACTCCTCTGTCAGTCTCATACCTGAGTGACCATGAAGAACAGGGACAACCCTGGATATGATATATAATAATAAAAAAATGCATTCCTTTCTGCCACTGAAACTTTGTGATTCCTTGCACAATATAATTTAGCTTGCCTCCATTAACACAAATATAATATAAAAATGAAGCATTTTCAGTTGGTATCTTGCTCAGATATTTTAAAGTATTGTACTCAATTGAATAAAGTATGCTATCCTAATTAATTTTAAAATATTTTTTGAGGACCTACTATGTGCTAGGCAGTAATCTAGGTGCTGGGAATACAGTGGTGAACAAAGAAGACAGTTCTTGCCCTCCTAGAGTACATATTACACTGAGCAGGAGACATGATCGAATTTTCTCCTTCCTGTCCAGATCTATTCTCTATGCTTCTCCACCCTGTTCTGTGCTCCAGGAGGCTTATCCTTAACATCAAATCCTCAGGATTCCTTACCTTGTGTCTTCTGATTAGGATTGTTCCATGGGTGTGGGTTGATAGGCAGATCACAGTGAAGTTGGGAAATTAAGTTGATGTTCTTATATCCTTCTGCTCTTTCTCTGCCGGTTATTAACTGCAGATAAGCTGTGTCCTTTTACAAGGTTATGAAGAGTCAGGTAAGGTTGCATTCTCCGTGTAGCTTTCCAATCCAGGTTCTCATAAACCCTCTCTCTCCTTGCCTCTTTACTCCTAGGGATGGAATGTCTTTCCACTGTTGCTATCCCGGGGATGTTGCACTATCTCTTGTTAATTTGTCTAACCCCTGCTCACACTCTGCCACTAATCCTTTTTATTAAACTCTCCTCAAATTACTACTTTTGAGTGTTCCATCTATTTTCTGTCTGGACATGTACTGATATCTTACACACACACACACACACACACACACACACATAACATTTTAACTGGTGCTAAGTGCTATGAAGACAAATAAAATATGGTAAGAAACATATAGTTCTTGAAAAGTGGTAATTTAAATTTAATGGTCAAGAAAGATCCTGAGATCATTTGAGTAGAAACCTGAAAGAAGGGAGAAAGTGAACCACACAAGTGTCTGGACAAGCTTCAGACACAAAGTGAATACAAATTTCTAAAGACAGGAACAAGCTTAGCGTGTTGGACTGAAAGAACTCCAGTATGTTTAGAAAACAAATGAGTGAGGAGTAGAATAGTAAAAGGTGAGGACTGTTTGCCCTAATTATATTTTTAAAAATTACTTCACATGCCATGTGGTTTAAAGGGAGCAAGATTAAAAGTAAAAGCAGAAATCCAGTAAGGAAGATATTGTAGTAGCCCAGAAAAGGGATAATGATGGATATGAGAAATTTTTGAATATTATATATAATTTCCAGGAAAAGTGACCAGGAAATACTGATGGAGTGAATATGGAGTGAAGAGAAAACAGAAAATCAAGGATGATTTCTAGATTTTTGGACTGAGTGATTTGATAAAGTATAGTACCATTTACTGCAGTGGAAAGTATTAGAGAAAAGGTGAGTTTGAGGGGGAAAGCCTTCTGTTTAATCTTACCCTCATTATGGATGAATTTCACTTAAAATTGACTATAGCAGTTTACATAAAATTGTGGTGATTTACTTGACAGTCCTTGGCTAGAGAGGTAGGATTTATATCCCTTTCCCTTGAATCAGAGTTCACTTATGATTGGCTTGGCAAATAGAATGTGATGGAAAGATGATGTGGCTTCTACCTCATTTGCTGGAAAACTATTGCTTACAGCTGTGAAATGGCATGAAGATGTCTGAGTAACCTGAAGTCACTATACTGTGAAGAAATCAGTTCACATCAAGAGACTATGTATTGTTGCTCTGTTGATCAGTTTTAGTGTTTTAGTCTTTCCAAACCAAGCATCAGGTATTAGTAAAGGAGTTTCCACATATTTGCTATTCTCCAGCCATTGAGTCATCCCCAGCCATCATGTATTTCTGAGGTTCCAGACATTGTGAATTAGACAAACCAGAGCTGCTATCCTTTGTCTGAATTCCTGAATTCCTGACTCACAGAATTTGTGAGTACAATAAAATGACTTTTTTAAAAGTCAGTAAGTTTTTAGGCAGTTTCTTAGGTATCAATAGTAATCAAAACGCTGTAGAAAACAATAACAATAATGTCTTATTTAATTTAAAATAAGGAGGTAATTAAAACATAAAATAAAAGTGACATATTAATTGAGAGAATGGTGCTAAAATGTTCTAAGGAGTTGTAGAGAAGCAGTGTTATTGTACCAACTAATATTATACATTGTTATAATAAAGATTTATATATCTAGGTTAACCACTCAAAGAATTTTTAAAAACTGCATAACTTCCAGGCTAATGGAGGGAAAATGAAATGATAAAAACATACTCTTTGAAATGTGGCAAAAGATAAAAATATAGAAGATGACACACATAAAGAACCAATAAAAGTGGGTAGTTTTAAACCAAAATATTACAGTAATTTCATTAAATACAAGTGGATTAAATGTCCCTAGTTAACAAAGATGATCAGACGGGTGTGAAACCAAATACAGTGTCATGCTTTTTTTTTTTTTTTTTTTTTTTTACCAGCATCGTATCTAAAACATAAATAAAACAAAAGTCTGAAAAAATAATAGAAAATATACACCACATAAGCACCAAACAAAATAAAGCAGGAAAAATAAAGTGCAATAATTCATAAAGAAAGTTTAAATTAACCAAAAAGAAATATTCTAAGTTAGTATGGACTATTATTGCTTTAAAATATATAAAGCAAAAATGGAAAGAACTATGAGGAGGAATGGTCAAATCCAAAATCGTAGTGCGAGATTTTAACTGAGTAAATGAGATACTAAGTGGGTTTATTCAAAAAATGCAAGGTTGATTTTATATTAGGAAAAAAATATTATTAACCACAATAACAAAGGAGGAAAATAATATGATCATTTCAAAAGATGCAAAATAAATTTGGTAAAACTTAACATTTATCCATTGGTTAAAAATAGCAAAATACAAATAGAGGGATTTTTGCAAACTAGAAATGGAGGACTATCCATTGGTAAAACTAGAAATGGAGGGATTAAATTTTTTACAAAAGTATTTGCAAAAATCTACAACAACTATTGTATTTAATGGTAAAATACAGAAAAATTTCCTTTCAAGTTTAGGAATAAGAAAATGATGCCCAGGCTGGGTGCAGTGGCTCATGCTTGTAATCCCGGCACTTTGGGAGGCTGAGGTGGGCAGATCACGAGGTCAGGAGTTCAAGACCAGCCTGACCAACATGGTGAAACTCCATCTCTACTAAAAATACAAAAATTAGCTGGGCGTGGTGGCAGGTGCCTGTAATCCCAGCTACTCAGCAGGCTGAGGCAGGAGAATTGCTTGAACTTGGGAGGCAGAAGTTGCAGTGAGCCGAGATCATGCCACTGCACTCCAGCCTGGATGACAGAGTGAGACTCTGTCTAAAATAAATAAATAAATAAATAAATAAATAAATAAATAAATAAATATAAAATGATGCCCAATATCATCATCACTATTTACCATTATACTGGATATCCTGGTTAGTGAAATAAATGAAGAAAAAAATCACAGGATATAAGGATTGAAAAACAACCCTTATTAGATAATAGATGATGTCCTTATTGAAGATGAGAAATTATATATGTAGATAAACAAAAAGTATCTACAGATATATTATTAGATTAGTAATTGAATTTAGTAAGATTGATGGATACAAGGTCAATTACATTTTCATATATTATCAAAATAGCATTTTGAAAGGGAAATTTACAACTAAGATATCATAAAAATAGTATTATAATATCAAGTACTAGAAATGTATTTAATAAAATGTGTAAAATAGTTCTACCCAGAATATCATAAATCATTGATTAAAGAACTTTAAAAAACTTAAATCAATAGAGGAAAATTTTATGTATTAAATTGGATGAGTCAATGCCATGAAATTAATTCTTCCCAAAACCAATTTATATATTCAATAAAATTTCAATTAAGATCTAATCAGATTACACTTTTAAAACTCAACAAGCTTATTCTAAACTTTATATGAAAATTCAAAGAGCAAGTATAGCCACAACGTTTCTTAAAAAGAACAAGATAGAAAGGTGTGCTTTTAAAGATATCAAGAATTATTTGAAAACTACGCCCAGAAAAGCAGTATAGTATTCACAAAAGGATAAAAAAACAGATCATTAATACAGAATAGAAAGTCCAGGAACTGACTCAAGCACATATTAATATTTGATTTGTAATAAAGTCTGCTCTGCAGAGAGAATGGAAATAATGGTCGTTAAAATAAGTGGGCCCTAGAACAAATGTATATCCACATTTGAAATAAAAAACACAAAAACCTGTCACCCCCAACCTCATGTAACACCCCAAAATTAATTTGAGGTGGATTATAAGTCTAATGGTCAGTCCTGAATATCCTTGTTAATTTTCTGTCTCATTGACCTAATATTGACAGTGGGGTGTTAAAGTCTCCCACTAGTATTGTGTGGGAGTCCAAGTCTCTTTGTAGGTCTCTAAGAACTTGCTTTTTGAATCTGGGTGCTCCTGTATTGGGTGCATATGTATTTAGGATAGTGAGCTCTTCTTGTTGCATTGATCCCTTTACCATTATGTAATGCCCTTCTTTGTCTTTTTTGATCTTTGTTGGTTTAAAGTCTGTTTTATCAGATACTAGGATTTTAACTCCTGCTTTTTTTTGCTTTCCATTTGCTTGGTAAATATTCCCCCATCCCTTTATTTTGAGCCTATGTGTATCTTTGCACGTGAGATGGGTCTCCTGAATACAGCAGACTGATGGGTCTTGACTCTTCATCCAATTTGCTAGTGAGTGTCTTTTAATTGGGGCATTTAGCACGTTTACATTTAAGGTTAATATTGTTATGGGTGACTTTGATCCTGTCATTATGATGCTACCTGGTTATTTTGCCCGTTAGTTGATGCAGTTTCTTCATAGTGTCAATAGTCTTTACAATTTGGTATGCTTTTTCAGTGGCTGGTACCGTTTTTTCCTTTCCATATTTAATGCTTCCTTCAGGAGCTCTTGTAAGGCAGGCCTGGTGGTGACAAAATCTCTCAGCATTTGCTTGTCTGTAAAGGATTTTATTTCTCCTTTGCTTATGAAGCTTAGTTTGGCTGGATATAAAATTCTGGTTTGAAAATTCTTTTTTTTAAGAACGTTGATTATTGGCCCCCACTCTCTTCTGCTTGTAGGATTTCTGCAGAGAGATCCACTGTTAGTCTGATAGGCTTCCCTTGGTGGGTAACCAGACCTTTTTCTCTGGTTGCCTTTAACACTTTTTCCTTCAATTAAACCTTGGTGAATCTGATGTTTATATGTCTTGGGGTTGCTCTTCTCAAGGAGTATATTTGTAGTGTTGTTTGTATTTCCTGAATTTGAATGTTGGCCTGTCTTGCTAGGTTGGGGAAGTTCTCCTGGATAATATCCTGAAGAGTGTTTTCCAATTGCTTCCATTCTCCCCGTCACTTTTAGTTACCCCAATCAAATGTAGGTTTGGTCTTTTTCACATAGTCCCATATTTCCTGGAGGCTTTGTTTGTTCCTTTTCATTCTTTTTTCATTAATCTTGTCTTCACTCGTTACCAAGGAGACCTAATAGACATCTACACAATTTTCCATGCCAAATCAACAGAACATACATTCTTCTCAGCACCACATCACACTTATTCTAAAATTGACCACATAATTGAAAGTAAAACAGTCCTCAGCAAATGCAAAAGAACAGAAATCATAAAAAACAGTTTCTCAGACAACAGTGCAATCAAATTAGAGCTCAGGATTAAAAAACACACTCAAAACCACACAACTACATGGAAACTGAACAACCTGCTCCTGAATGACTACTGGATACATAAAACAAATTAAGGGAGAAATAAATAAGCTCTTTGAGACCAATGAGAACAAAGACACAACGTACCAGAATCTCTGGGACACAGCTAAAGCAGTGTTTAGAGGGAAATTTATAGCACTAAATGCCCACAGGAGAAAGCAGGAAAGATCTAAAATCAACACCCTAACATCACAATTAAAATAACTAGAGAAGCAAGAACAAACAAATTCAAAAGATAGCAGAAGACCATAAATAATGAAGATCAGAGCAGAACTGAAGGAGATAGAGACACAAAAAACCCTTCAAAAAATCAATGAATGCAGGAGCTGGTTTTTTGAAAAAATTAAGAAAATAGAACACTAGCCAGGCTAATAAAAGAGAGTAGAATCAAATAGACACAATAAAAAAATGATAAAGGGGATATCACCACTGATCCCCCAAAAATACAAACTACCATCAGAGAATACTATAAACAACTCTAGGCAAATAAACTAAAAAATCTAGAAAAAATGGATAAATTCCTGGACATATACACCCTTGCAAGACTAAACCAGAAAGCGAATGAATCCCTGAATAGATCAATAACAAGTTCTGAAATTGAGGCAGTAATCAATAGCTTACCAATCAAAAAAAAAAGGCCACGACCAGACAGATTCACAGCCGAATTCTACCAGAGGTACAAAGAGGAGCTGGTACCATTCCTTCTGAAACTATTCCAAACAACAGAAAAAGAGAGACTCCTCCCTAACTCATTTTATGAGGCCAGCATCATCCTAATACCAAAACCTGGCAGAGACACAACAAAAAAAACAAAATTTCAGGCCAATATCCCTGATGAACGTTGGTGCGAAGATCCTCAATAAAATACTCTCAAACTGAATCCAGCAGCACATCAAAAAGCTTATGCAACACAATCAAGTCATCTTTATCCCTGGGATGCAAGGCTGATTCAACATACACAAATCAATAAACATAATCCATCACATAAACAAATGCAATGACAAAAACCACATGAATATCTTAATAGATTCAGAAAAGGCCTTTGATAAAATTCAACAAACTTTCAGGCTAAAAACTCTCAATAAGCTAGGTATTGATGGAATGTATCTCAAAATAATAAGAGCTATGTATGACAAACCCACAGCCAGTATCATACTGAATGGGTAAAAGCTGGAAGCATTCCCTGTGAAAACCGGCACAAGAGAAGGATGCCCTCTCTCATCACTCCTATTCAACGTAGTATTAGAAGTTCTGGCCAGGGCAATCAGGCAAGAGAAAGAAATGAAGGGTATTCAAATAGGAAGAGAGAAAGTCAAATCATCTCTGTTTGTAGATGATATGATTGTATATTTAGAAAACCCCATTGTCTTAGTGCAGAACCTCCTTAAGCTGATAAGCAACTTCAGCAAAGTCTCAGGATACAAAATCAATCTGCAAAAATCACAAACATTCTTATACACCAATAACAGACAAACAGCCAAATCATGAGTGAACTCGCATTCACAATTGCTACAAAGAGAATAAAAAACCTAGGAATACAACTTACAAGGGATGTGAAGGACCTCTTAAAGGTCAACTACAAACCACTGCTCAAGGAAATAAGAGAGGACACAAACGAATGGAAAAACATTCCATGCTCATGGATAGGAAGAAACGTGAAAATGGCCATACTGCCCCAAATAATTTATAGATTCAAAGCCATCCCCATCAAGCTATGATTGACTTTCTTCTCAGAATTAGAAAAACTACTTTAAATTTCATATGGAACCAAAAAAGAGTCCGTATAGCCAAGACAATCCTAAGCAAAAAGAGCAAAGCTGGAGGCATCATGCTACCTGACTTCAAACCACATACAAGGCTACAGTAACCAAAACAGCATGGTACTGGTACCAAAACAGATATGTAGACCAATGGAACAGAACAGAGGCCTCAGAAATAACGCCACACATCTACAACCATCTGATATTTGACAACCCTGACAAAAGCAAGCAATGGGGAAAGGATTTCCTATTTAATAAATGGTGTTGGGAAAACTGGCTAGCCATATGCAGAAAACTGAAACTGGACCATTTCCTTACACCTTATAGAAAAATTAACTCAAGATGGATTAAAGACTTAAATGTAAGACCTAAAACCATAAAAAACCTAGAAGAAAACCTAGGCAATACCATTCAGGACATAGGCATGGGCAAAGGCTTCATAACTAAAACACTGAAAGAAATGGCAACAAAAGCCAAAATTGACAAATGGGATCTAATTAAACTAAAGCGCTTCTTCACAGCAAAAGACACTATCATCGTAGTGAACAGACAACCTACAGAATGGGACAAATGTTTTTCAATGTATCCATCCGACAAAGGGCTAATATCCAGAAGCTACAAGGAACTTAAACAAATTTCCGAGAATAAAACAACCCCATCAAAAAGTGTGTGAAGGATATGAACAGACAGTTCTCAAAAGAAGACTTTTAGGTGGCCAACAAACATATGAAAAAAAGCTCATCATCACAGGTCATTAGAGAAATGCAAATCAAAAGCACAATGAGATACCATCTAATGCCAGTTAGAAGGGCAATCGTTAAAAAGTCAGGAAACCAAACACTGCGTGTTCTCACTCATAGGTGGGAATTGAACAATGAGAAAACTTGGACACAGGAAGGGGAACATCACACACCGGGGCCTGTCATGGGGTGGGGGAAGTGGGGAGGGATAGCACTGGGAGATATACCTAATGTAAATGACGAGTTAATGGGTGCAGCACACCAACATGGCACATGTATACATAAGTAACAAACCTGCATGTTGTGCACATGTACCCTAGAACTTAAAGTATAATAAAAAAAAAAAGGAAAAAAAGTCAGGAAACAACAGATTCTGGAGAGGATGTGGAGAAATGGGAACACTTTTACACTGTTGGTGGGAATGTAAATTAGTTCAACCATTGTATAAGACAGTGTGGCAATTCCTCAAGGATCTATAACCAGAAATACCATTTGACCCAGCAATCCCATTACTGGGTATATACCCAAAGGATTATAAATCATTCTTCTATAAAGACAGATGCACACACATGTTTATTACAGCACTATAAACGCAATAGCAAAGACTTGGAACCAACTCAAATGCCCATCAGTGATAGACTGGATAAAGCAAATCTGGCACATATACATCATGGAATACTATGCAGCCATAAAAGGATGAGTTCATGTCCTTTGCAGGGTCATAGATGAAGCTGGAAACCATTGTTCTCAGCAAACTAACACAGGAACAGAAAACCAAACACTGCATGTTCTCACTCATAAGTGGGAGTTGAACAATGAGAACACATGGACACAAGTAGGGGAACAGTACACACTGGGGCCTGTCGGGGGGGTGAGGGGCTAGGGGAGGGATAGCATTAGAAGAAATACCTAATGTAGATGACGGGTTGATGGGTGCAGCAAACCACCATGGCATGTGTACACTTATGTAACAAACCTGCACGTTCTGCACATGTATCCCAAAACTTAAAGTATAATAAAAAATATCTAACGGTAAAAAAGCTTACAACAAAAGTCATAAAAGAAGATATGGAAAAGAACATTTTAATTTTATTCAGATAAACTGGAAATGAGGTATATTAACCATAAACAAAAAGTTGAACATTTGACAACATTAAAATAAAAACTGTTCAATAGAAGACATCATTAAGAAAGTGAAAAGTAAAGCCATACAATTGGAGAAGACATTTGTAATAAATGTAATGTACAACATGCTTTAATATAGAATCTATAACTACCTACCACAAAAAGCCCAGTAGAAAAATGGCTATGGGACCTCAACTGGTACTGCATAAAAAATCATAGCCAAAGGGAAAGTGGACAAATGAAAATGCTCAAAGAAACGCAAATAGAACCCACAATGTTATATAGCTATATAACCCAATAAAACAGCAAAGAGGTAGAAAGTAGAATGGTGCTTACAAGAGGCTGGGAAGAGGAAGGCACAGAAAAGTTGGTTAAGAAAATTTGGCTAATGGGTACACAATACATTTAGATTGAAGGAATAAGTTCTAGTATTTGATAGCCAGTAGGGTGACTATAGTTAACAATAATTTATTGTGTATTGCAGAATCACTAAAAGAGAAGATTTGGAATGTTGCCAATTCAAAGAAATGGTAAAATTTGAGATAGTGGGTATCACAATTTCTCTGGTTTGATCATTGAGCATTGTATGCATACATCAAAATATCATGTGTGACCCAGAAATATGTAAAATCATGATGTATCAATAAAAAAGAGAATAGAAAATATTATATGATGGTGAAAATGTAAAGGGCATTCTCAACCCTGGTGCTATTAAATCACTTTGCAGAAGAGTTTTATATCATCCTTCTAAGTTGAACGAATGAATACATTCATATCTAGCAATTCACTTACCACAAAAGTACATGAACATTTATACCAGAGTAAATTTGAAGAAATGTTTGTGGAAACATTATTCATGATATAAAATACTTGAACGCACTGAAATGTCTATCAATAATATAATGGATAAATATATTGTGTTATTATATTCATACAGTGGAAGACACATAGCAATGAACGTGAACAAAACACAATTACACCTACATATTGATATGAATGGATCTCATAAACCTAAGTGTGAGTGAAAGTATCCAGACACAGTAGGAAAAGTAATACAGATGTTCCTTGACTTACAGTGGGGTTACATCCTGATAAACCCATAATAGGTTGGGGGTATTTTAAGTCAAAAATGCATTTAATACACCTAACCTACTGAACATCATAGCTTAGCCTAGCCTACCATAAAAATGCTCAGAACATTTATGTTAGTCTACACTTGGGCAGTAGTAAAGTGTTGAATGTCTCATGTAATTTATTGAATAATCTACTGAAAGTGAAACAGAATGGTTGTATGGGTACCTGTACTATGGCTTCACACCATTTTAAGATCCAAAAATCATAAGTTGAATCATTTTAAGTTGGGAGACTATTTGTATGTGATTTTATTCACATATCTGTATGTAACAAGTTAACAAGCAAAGCTCAAATCTACTTTTAATCGATTGCAGGTTTAGGGAGAAATCACATTAAAAATTATTATGAGATTACCATTAAAGTCAACATTGTAATTTCTTTTATGCATAAAGTGAACATAGTGATTTGGAAGGGGCAAAAAAAAAAACTTTAGGCTTCTGGCATTGTCCTATTTCTTGAACTGAGTAGTAGTCTCATGAACTTCTGCTTTGTGAAAAATCTATGAACTGCACATTTTAGTTTTGCACATTTATATTCATGGGTGTTATATCTAATTAAATGAAATAGTAAAGAAAACTCAACCTAATTCTACCTTTCATGGAAAGAACGGAACTCAGAATACTTCATGATTGCATGCATAAAAAATGAGGCAGTTGTGAAATAAGCTAATTATGAAATCAAAGAAATTTATATGTTAGCTTCAAAACATATTGTCAGCTGTTATTAACCTAGGGTTGTTCTCCTCTCTTAGAGTGCATTTGGAAATGTGTGAAGGCATTTCATGTCATTACAATTACCAGTTCCTGGCACTTAGTACCCTGGGGCCAAGGATGCAAACATTATCCAATATGAGGAATAGTATGACACAACAAATCATTGCCCTGCCTCAAATGTCAACAGTATCCTTTTTCAGAAATATGCAGGCTAAGTTAAAATGATTTGGCAAAAATTTCCAAGAGTTATATAAAGCCATACCAGTTCTAAATTATGCTGTAAAACACATATATGTTTAGTGCTACAAAGGGCCAAGCTACTTAAACATGTATTACATGTAGCTCATACCACTCCAAATACTGCTTCCATTTATTGATGAATTTTCTTTTAGAGAATTGTGTTAGCATCAGGTAGCTATAGTCAAAGCTTTCTTCTGGTTGAAAGTTTATAGATGTAAATGCATACATACTACATAGATTTGTGTCCCTGAAGATTCTCTTTAAAAATCATTCTTGTTTATTTTATTCCACACTGTTATATGTTATTTGTAAAATCTTCACATTCTAATATTTCAGGTAATTCTCAAAATATTTTAGCTTCACAGTTTATGCAACAGTGTGGCCATAACAGCCCTTAAATCTAGAAAAGTAGATTCCTCAATCATTCTAACATTTTAACACATACCTGCATACAAGAGAACTCCCAATTCATTTCAAGTATATTATAGTGAACTAAAAGTGTAAGTGCTATGTTTAAGTCCTCTTTAAATACTTATTTTCAAGTTTTAGTGGAAACTTCTTTTATATGATTTTATTTAATTCTTCAGCTTTCTTGTATCTATTTGCTAACATTTCAAAGGTTCCTTAATGGCAATGCTTTTAACTTTGTTGGAGAATTGTGGCTATTTTATTAAACTTATCTCCCTAAATATTACTTAATATAACTATATTTCTCTGTGATCCAATTTATTATGCTGAGATATGATTGTATTTTATGTACTTTTCAATATTGCATAAAAGTGATTATCTCAAACTTATCACCAATAAAATATATTTTCAGTATTAAATTACATCAAATGCAAAATGGGATGGCCTAGGAAATACAGCAGGTTAATACACCTTACGAAGAAAAAAAAGTATCATTTTTCTTTACAGGAGGAATAAAGTTAAATACAGCCCAGAAAATCTCTGTAAGATGAGGAAAGTTGTTACTCAAAAGAAGAAACATATTAAACAATCATTGAGCTGGTTCCTGATTCAGTGGCTTTCTTTCATTAACATATGCTGCTACTCTAATTCTCATCAACCAAAATGTTATCTACTTTTAAAATTCAATTCAATTAAAATCAGTGGTGATGCTTTTAAGTGAAGTAACAAATGTCAGACAGGATCATATTTGAGAGAGAGAGAGAGAGAGAGAGAGAGAGAGACAGAGAGAGAGAGAGGGAGATGGTGAGTGAGTTTTAATATGGTGACTTTGAGTTATCTTTGGAATTTAATAGTTCAGAATATTTTGTAAACAACTGAAAATGCTACTTTGAAATCCCAAGTAAAAAGAACCAAAGATGAAACTCTAGGGAATATTAAAAATATAATTAAAAAGAGAAACCTAGGGAAACTAATCTGGAGGTCCTGAGAGGTAGAAAAAGACCCGGAGATAGTGGTGGCATGAAGGCCAAGTGAGAGCGTGAGAGCAATTTCAGGAATGTTCATCACAAATGCCCTAGAGACATTATATAAAACACAAAGAGTAAGTCATTAACTTATTTAATTAGGAGATCTTTCATAACTTTTATAAAGAGAAGTTTCAGCAGAATAGAGACAAGAATTTTTATGCAGGCAGAGTCTGGGTGTATCTTATTCATCACTGTATTTTAATTTCCAAGCATAGTACCCAGCACATATGTATGCCCAATGAGTATTTATTAGGATAAAGTTAACTAGAAACTGAGGAATGATCTAAAAAAAAAAAAAGAGAGAGAAGATGGAGAATGTCCTAACACTGAAGCTGGAGTAAGAGATGAGGATATATTGATACTTAGAGAAAAAAAGAATCAGAGAATGGTTTCTTTCTTTATTTTAGAAATGGGTAGAAGACACCTAATTACATTTACAGAAAATGAGAAAAAGCCATTGAAAATGGAGGAGAGGCAAAACTAATAGACCATGACGGCTAAAAGGACCTTCATCTGTATCTGTTCCAGTCAGGAGAAGACCAAGATATTTATAGAAAAGTAAAAGTGATTTAGGAATTCCCTACCATCCTCTGGCTATCAACAGGACAACAACAATAATAGTAGCTAATATGTATTATGTGCTTAATAAGTGGATTTTTTATACTAATAGCATGTACAAACTGATTATTAGATATTGTCCTCTTATTAGATATTATGTTGTTATTAGGTATCACCTTAAAATATAATACTATTTCAATTTTGCAAATAAAGAAACTGAAGCAAAGTAAAAAAAAACATTTAAATAAGAAAAAAGTGAGTGCACACTATTTGCTTAGCACTGTATTTAATGCTATGGTGTTAAAGGGTATGCAGCGTAGAACACAGTCTCTGTGTTTTAGGGATTGACACATGGGTGTTTCATGAAAAATATGTAGCAAAATATCCAAGGAGAATCCCATCTCTTTTCCAGGCATGAGATTAAACAATAGGTTGTTGATACAATTAAATGAAACAAAACTGACCAGCAAGTAGCCAGAAAACCAGGGTGATCCCAAACCAAATATTACTTAATGTTATATTAAGTAGAAAATAAAGTGATGATCACATTATTCAGATTTTTTTTCCCACAAAGAAGTCACTTTTTCATTACTTCTTTTGGAAAATGGTTTAGGAATTTTAAAAATACATTTTATATGCATTTTCTTCTTAAAATTGATTTGCATATACAAGTCAGCAGAAAACAGATATATTCAAAATGCAATGAAGTCAACATAAATGCTATAATCTCAGACATATATGTTTATTTTGGAAATATTAATATTTTTACTACATACCAGGTGCTGTGTTAGGTATTTGGAATTAAACACAAATGCCAAAGTCACTTTTTGAAAGAAGCCTTCAATCTAATGGATGGAACTGATACACAAATGAATACTTTCAGTACAATGTTGAGATTGCCATGATATAAATATGCACAGGGCATTATGGGAGCATAAAGAGCACCTCATCCCAATGTGAGAATTAAGAGAATGGTTTATTGTTAGCAAAACATGATACTTGAACTGAGGTTTGATGCATAAATAAATAAGATGGAGAAAGTGCTCTTAATGGAAGAAACAGGAGAAGCAAAATTTCAGAGATGTAAAGCTTTATGTGTGTAAGTAATGAATAATGAGAGTACAACCATTTCGCTCTTAAATAAAGGGCTGCATTTATTAGAATTAAGTTGAATTAAATACAGATGTATGAAGCAGTAAACCCAATAATAGTAATAAAACAACTTTTAAGGTTTTTTTTTCTTTCAAACACAGCCTAATGATAGCTGAATGAGAGCTTATATGATGCATCACCAGGTACCTTCTATTTTGTTGTTTTCCAACAATAGTAGAGGATACTTACAGGGTCTTTGCTATTATTCCTGCATTTTATTTAGTAGTATTAAGACCTGGAGAAGGGCATGTCCCATTTATTCACATTGCAAGCACCATTTCTGCTACATACCATTTTTCATAACCTATTTACATGAGCATATCCAGCTGTAAATGGGACTGGGGTATGCAATCTTTTTTGTATTGTCCATTTGCCAAGCTAAAAACCAAGGAGTTCATTTAAATAACTAAATTGAAAAAATACCTGAGACAAAAGGGACGTGAGTATTCAGGGCCCTCTGAAGTCAGAGAGATCACATGATATACGGTTTATGAGTTAGAGAAAGGATATATGATAGAGAACATTATGAGACAATTAATAGCTTGGCCACCACTACTGCCTTTGATATATCTTGAGATAAAGGGAGTAAATATAAACGAATAAAAATAATAAAACAGATAGGAGTGAGGATTAAGACGACAGATAGGAGGCAGCAGGACTAGCTTGCAGCTCCCACTTGGATGGACAGAGCAGTGTGTGGAGAATCACACTGTGAATTTTTTCTCCAAGAACTGCTGCAGGAACATACCAGGAAAGCTGGGAGAATCCACAGACCTTTAAAGAAACTGGATCATGGCTGCAGGCTCCCTTAGATGCTGAAAAACTGTGAGTCTGCTTGCATTTGTAATGGGGAGGCTTGTGGTCTGGGGCAGGTTCTAAGCCTTGGTCACTGGCTGCCTGGAAATAGAGTCAGTGCTGTTGGGAGGCACAGTGGGAGTGAGACTGGCCTTTATGACTGTGGGCTGCACGGGAGTGGGGTGAGGCCTGTGACTGCCAACTTTCCCCCACTTCCCTGGTGGCCTGTATGACTCAGCAGAGGCAGCCATGTGGGAATATAACTCCACTGAACTGGGAATCACACCCCAATCTCACACAGCAGCCACAGCAAGCCATGCCCAAAGAGAGGCTGAACGCAGATATGCCTATCCCTGTCTTCACCTGGTGGTCTTTCTGTACCTGCCCTGGTAGCCAAAGAAAAAGGTCATAATCTCTTGGGAGCTCTATGGTCCTGCCTACTGCCTGAGAAACCTGAATACTTAACCAGGTGTCCCTAGCGCAAGTTTGCATCCTGCCTATAGGACCACAGCTTATGTGCTCTTGAAAGTGCCACCTCCTGGCTAGAGGCCAACCAACACACAAAAAAGAACAGTAAACAAAAACGCAACCAAGGATCCTAACAGAGTCCACTTCACACCCCTGCTACCTCCACTGGAGCAAGTTGCCAGTATCCACTGCTGCAAGACCTGAAGATGAATCACATTACAGGACCCTATGCAGACACTCCCCAGTACCAACCTAGAGCCTGGTAGCTCTGCTGTGTGGCTAGACCCAAAAGAGCAAAAACAATCACTACAGTTTGGCTCTAAGGAAGCCCCATTCCTAGGGGAAGTGGGAGAACACCACATCAAGGGAGTATCTCATGGGACAAAATATGACAAAACAAGGTTCTTTAACATCCCCAAAAGATCATACCAGCTCACCAGCAATGAATTTAAACCAAGATGAAATCTCTGAATTGCCAGAAAAAAAATTCAGAAGGTCGACTATTAAGCTAATCAAGGAGATCCCAGAGAAAGGTAAATCCAACTTAAAGAAATCAAAGACATGATATAGCATATGAAAGGAATATTCTTCAGTGAAATAAATAGCATAAATAAAAAACAATCACAACTTCTGGAAATCAAGGACACACTTAGAGAAATGCAAAATGCACTGGAAAGTCTCAGCAACAGAACAGAACAAACAGAAGACAGAACTTAAGAGTTCAAAGACTAGACTTTTGAATTAACGCAATCCATCAAAGACAAAGACAAAAGAATTTTAAGAAAAGCCTCCAAGAAGGTTGAGACTACGTTAAATGTCCAAACCTAAGAATAATTGGTGTTCCCAAGGAAGAAGAGCAATCTAAAAGTTTGGAAAACATATTTGAGAAAAATAATCAAAGAAAACTTCCCTGGCCTTGCTAGAGATCTATACATCCAAATACAAGAAGTTCAAAGAACACCTGGGAAATTCATCAAAAAAAGAGCATCACCTGGGCACATATTCATCAAGTTATATAAGTCAAGACAAATAAAATAATCTTAGGAGCTGTGAGGCAAAAATACTAGGTAACCTAAAAAGGAAAACCTATCAGATTAACAGCAGATTTCTCAGCAGAAACCCCATAAGCTAGAGGGGACTGCGGTCCTATTTTTGGCTTTGTAAAAGGAAAATATCTTGGGAACCTTCAGGCTGAAAAATGCTCAGGGAAAATCCACCTCTCATTCTATTCAAAATCATCCCTATGCTCACAGAGATAGGTGCATATTCTGATTGCCTCCTTTGGAAAGACATCAGAAACAGAAACTCAAAAGAATGGAACCATTGATCTATATCTCTGTGTTGGTACCAGTACCATGCTGTTTTTGTTACTGTAGCCTTGTAGTATAGTTTGAAGTCAGGTAGTGTGATGCCTCCAGCTTTGCTCTTTTGGCTTAGGATTGACTTGGTGATGTGGGCTCTTTTTTGGTTCCATATGAACTTTAAAGTAGTTTTTTCCAATTCTGTGAAGAAAGGCATTGGTAGCTTGATGAGGATGGCATTGAATCTGTAAATTACCTTGGGCAGTATGGCCATTTTCATGATATTGATTCTTCCTACCCATGAGCATGGAATGTTCTTCCATTTGTATCCTCTTTTATTTCATTGAGCAGTGGTTTGTAGTTCTCCTTGAAGAGGTCCTTCACATCCCTTGTAAGTTGGATTCCTAGGTATTTTATTCTCTTTGAAGCAATTGTGAATGGGAGTTCACTCATGATTTGGCTCTCTGTTTGTCTGTTGTTGGTGTATAAGAATGCTTGTGATTTTTGTACATTGATTTTGTATCCTGAGACTTTGCCGAAGTTGCTTATCAGCTTAAGGAGATTTTGGGCTGAGACAGTGGGGTTTTCTAGACATACAATCATGTCGTCTGCAAACAGGGATAATTTGACTTTCTCTTTTCCTAATTGAATACCCTTTATTTCCATCTCCTGCCTAATTGCCCTGGCCAGAACTTCCAACACTACGTTGAATAGGAGTGGTGAGAGAGGGCATTCCTGTCTTGTGCCAGTTTTCAAAGGGAATGCTTCCAGTTTTTGCCCATTCAGTATGATATTGGCTGTGGGTTTGTCATAGATAGCTCTTATTACTTTGAGATACATCCCATCAATACCTAATTTATTAAGAGTTTTTAGCATGAAGCATTGTTGAATTTTGTCAAAGGCCTTTTCTGCATCTATTGAGATACTCATGTGGTTTTTGTCTTTGGTTCTGTTTATATGCTGGATTACATTTATTGATTTGCATATACTGAACCAGCCTTGCATCCCACGGATGAAGCCCACTTGATCATGGTGGATAAGCTTTTTGATGTGCTGCTGGATTCGGTTTGCCAGTATTTTATTGAGGATTTTTGCGTCAATGTTCATCAAGGATATTGGTCTAAAATTCTCTTTTTTGGTTGTGTCTCTGCCCGGCTTTGGTATCAGGATGATGCTGGCCTCATAAAATGAGTTAGGTAGGATTCCCTCTTTTTCTGTTGATTGGAATAGATTCAGAAGGAATGGTACCAGTTCCTCCTTGTCCCTCTGGTAGAATTTGGCTGTGAATCCATCTGGTCCTGGACTCTTTTTGGTTGGTAAGCTATTGATTATTGCCACAATTTCAGATCCTGTTATTGGTCTATTCAGAGATTCAACTTCTTCCTGGTTTAGTCTTGGGAGGGTGTATGTGTTGAGGAATTTATCCATTTCTTCTAGATTTTCTAGTTTATTTGCGTAGAGGTGTTTGTAGTATTCTCTGATGGTAGTTTGTATTTCTGCGGCATCTGTGGTGATATCCCCTTTATCATTTTTATTGTGTCTATTTGATTCTTCTCTCTTTTTTTCTTTATTAGTCTTGCTAGCGATCTATCAATTTTGTTGATCCTTTCAAAAAACCAGCTCCTGGATTCATTAACTTTTTGAAGGGTTTTTTGTGTCTCTATTTCCTTCAGTTCTGCTCTGATTTTAGTTATTTCTTGCCTCCTGCCAGCTTTTGATTGTGTTTGCTCTTGCTTTTCTAGTTCTTTTCATTGTGATGTTAGGGTGCCAATTTTGGATCTTTCCTGCTTTCTCTTGTGGGCATTTAGTGCTATAAATTTCCCTCTACACACTGCTTTGAATGTGTCCCAGAGATTCTGGTATGTTGTGTCTTTGTTCTCATTGGTTTCAAAGAACATCTTTATTTCTGCCTTCATTTCGTTATGTACCCAGTAGTCATTCAGGAGCAGGTTGTTCAGTTTCCATGTAGTTGAGCAGTTTTGAGTGAGATTCTTAATCCTGAGTTCTAGTTTGATTGCACTGTGGTCTGAGAGACAGTTTGTTATAATTTCTGTTCTTTTACATTTGCTGAGGAGTGCTTTACTTCCAACTATGTGGTCAATTTTGGAATAGGTGAGGTGTGGTGCTGAAAAAGATGTATATTCTGTTGATTTGGGGTGGAGAGTTCTGTAGATGTCCATTAGGTCCGCTTGGTGCAGAGCTGAGTTCAATTCCTGGGTATCCTTGTTAACTTTCTGTCTCGTTGATCTGTCTAATGTTGACAGTGGGGTGTTAAAGTCTCCCATTATTATTGTGTGGGAGTCTAAGTCTCTTTGTAGGTCACTCAGGACTTGCTTTATGAATCTGAGTGCTCCTGTATTGGGTGCATATATATTTAGGATAGTTAGCTCTTCTTGTTGAATTGATCCCTTTACCATTATGTAATGGCCTTCTTTGTCTCTTTTGATCTTTGCTGGTTTAAAGTCTGTTTTATCAGAGACTAGGATTGCAACCCCTGCCTTTTTCTGTTTTCCATTTGCTTGGTAGATCTTCCTCCATCCTTTTATTTTGAGCCTATGTGTGTCTCTGCACGTGAGATGGGTTTCCTGAATACAGCACACTGATGGGTCTTGACTCTTTATCCAATTTGCCAGTCTGTGTCTTTTAATTGGAACATTTAGTCCATTTACATTTAAAGTTAATATTGTTATGTGTGAATTTGATCCTGTCATTTTGATGTTAGCTGGTTATTTTGCTCATTAGTTGATGCAGTTTCTTCCTAGTCTCGATGGTCTTTACATTTTGGCATGATTTTGCAGCAGCTGGTACCAGTTGTGCCTTTCCATGTTTAGTGCTTCCTTCAGGAGCTCTTTTAGGGCAGGCCCGGTGGTGACAAAATCTCTCTGCATTTGCTTGTCTGTAAAGTATTTTATTTCTCCTTCACTTATGAAGCTTAGTTTGGCTGGATATGAAATTCTGGGCTGAAAATTCTTTTCTTTAACAATGTTGCATATTGGCCCCCACTCTCTTCTGGCTTGTAGAGTTTCTGCCGAGAGATCCGCTGTTAGTCTGATGGGCTTCCCTTTGTGGGTAACCCGACCTTTCTCTCTGGCTGCCCTTAACATTTTTTCCTTCATTTCAACTTTAGTGAATCTGACAATTATGTGTCTTGGAGTTGCTCTTCTCGAGGAGTATCTTTGGGGTGTTCTCTGTAAAATGCTCATCATCACTGGCCATCAGAGAAATGCAAATCAAAACCACAATGAGATGCCATCTCACACCAGTTAGAATGGCAATCATTAAAAAGTCAGGAAACAACAGGTGCTAGAGAGGATGTGGAGAAATAGGAACACTTTTACATTGTTGGTGGGACTGTAAACTAGTTCAACCATTGTGGAAGTCAGTGTGGCAATTCCTCAGGGATCTAGAACTAGAAATACCATTTGACCCAGCCATCCCATTACTGGGTATATACCCAAAGGACTATAAATCATGCTGCTATAAAGACACATGCACATGTATGTTTATTGCGGCACTATTCACAATAGCAAAGACTTGGAACCAACCCAAATGTCCAAAAATGATAGACTGGATTAAGAAAATGTGGCACATATACACCATGGAATACTATGCAGCCATAAAAAATGATGAGTTAATGTCCTTTGTAGAGACATGGATGAAATTGGAAATCATCATTCTCAATAAACTATCGCAAGGACAAAAAACCAAACACTGCATGTTCTCACTCATAGATGGGAATTGAACAGTGAGAACACATGAACACAGGAAGGGGAATATCACACTCTGTGGACTGTTGTGGGGTGGGGGGAGGGGGGAGAGATAGCATTAAGAGATATACCTAATGCTAAATGACGAGTTAATGGGTGCAGCACACCATCATGGCACATGTATAGATGTGTAACTAACCTGCACATTGTGCACATGTACCCTAAAACTTAAAGTATAATAATAATAATAAAGAAAAAAAAAGAATGGAACCATTTTTCTCTTATCTACCTGTTACCTGAATGTCTGGGGTGGGGAGGGGCGGGGGCTTGCTTTGGATTGTCCCCACCTTTCTGGACAGAACGAATGTACTGCCTACATATATTAATTGACGTGTCATGTCTCCCTAAAATATATAAAACCAAGCTCTACCTCAACTGCCTTGTGCACATGTTGTGAGAACCTCCTGAGGCTGTGTCACAGGTGCATCCTCAACCTTGGCAAAATAAACTTTCTAAATTAACTGAGACCTGTCTCAGATTTTCTGGCTTCACAGCTTCCTTAAACAAAACAATTATCAGCCCAAAATTTTGTATCCAGCAAAACTAAGCTTCATAAATGAAGGAAAGATTCAGTCTTTTCCAGAGAAACAAATGCTGAGAGAATTTGCCACTACCTAGTCAGCACTACAAGAACAGCTAAAAGGAGCTCTAAATTTTTAAACAAATACTTGAAGTACACCAGAATAGAACCTCCTTAAAGCATAAATCTCACAGGACCTATATAACAATAACACAATGAAAAATAAAACAGGTATACAGGCAAAAAATAGCATGATGAATAGAATAGTATCTCAAATATCAATACTAACATTGAATGTACATGGCCTGAATGCTCCACGTAAAATATACAGAATGGCAGAATGGATAAGAACTCACCAACCAGGGTTCGGCTGTCTTCAAGAGACTAACCTAACACATAAGGTCTCACATAAACTTAAGGTAAAGGGGTGAAAAAATATATTCCATACAAATAGACACCAAAAGCAAGTACAAGTAGCTATTCTTATATCAGAAAAAAAACAAACTTTAAAGTAACAACAGTTAAAAAAGACAAAGAGGGACATTATAAAATGATGAAAGAACTAGTCCAATAGGAAAATGTCACAGTTCTAAATATATATGCACCTAACACTGGAGCTTCAAAATTTATAAAACAATTACTAAAAGACCTAAAAAATGAGATAGAAAACAACTCAATAATAGTGGGGGGCTTTAATACTCCACTAACAACACTAGACAGGTCAAGACAGAGAATCAACAAAGAAGCAATGGACTTAAAATATACCCTACAACAAATGGACTTAAAAGATATTTACAGAACATCTACCCAACAACTGCAGAATATACATTCTTTTCATCACCACGAGAAACATTCTCCAAGATAGACCATATGATAGACCACAAAACAAGTCTCAGTAAATTTAAGAAAATCAAAATTATATCAAGTACTCTTTCAGACCACAGTGAAATAAAATTGGAAATCAACTCCAAAAGGAACCCTCAAAACCAGGCAATATATGGAAATTAAATAACCTGCTCCTGAGTGATCACTGGGTAAACAATGAAATCAAGATAGAAATTTAAAAGTTCTTCAAACTTAATGATAATAGTGATACAACCTATCAAAACCTCTGGGATACAGCAAAAGCAGTGTTAAGAGGAAAGTTCATAGCATTAAATGCCTACATCAAAAAGTCTAAAAGAGCACAAATAGACAATCTAAGGTCACACCTCATGAAATTGGGAAAACGAAAACAATCCAAACACAAACCCAACAGAAGGAAAGAAATACAAAGGTCAGAGCAAAACTAAATGAAATTGAAACAAAAAAAAATACAAAAGATAAATGAAACAAAAATCTGGTTTTTTGAAAATATATATAAAATTGAAAGACCATTAATGAATTTAATGAAGAAAAGAAGAGAGAAGATGCAAATAAGCTCAATCAGAAACAAAATGGGAGATATTACAACTGATACTAAAGAGGCTTCATTGTCTGAGGTAAATATCCGAGGTTCATTGTCTCATGCCAAGAAAATCAAGGACGTGGACACACAAGAAGTGAGTTTAAGACAGAAGTTTTAATATATGAGAGAAAAGAGAAAAGCTCTCTCTCCTGCAGAGAGAGAGAGAGACTTCTGAGTGGGTCTTCTGGTTCCATGGTGAAATGCATGGGGTTTTATAAATGAGCTTGTGGAGGCAGTACCTGATATACATAGGGCACAAGAGATTGGTTGGACCAAATGTTCCATTTGCATAGCATGCAAAGAAGCTGGCCATCTCACTGTAATCTTTTATTATGCAGATGGGGTCTCTACCTGGCTGGTGCCACGTTGCCTGCTTTTTTACTGCACATGTGGCAACAAAGAAAAGAGGAGAATCCCCATGTTGAATACACTTGCATTTCAGGTATCCCTTGTCTATAGGCACAGGTGCCGGCACTTACCTATGCAAGCTTTTAACTTGCTTACCTATGCTTGAAGCTTGAGCTTTAGGCTGCTTTGTGTTAGAAAAGAAATAATTTGGGAGCTGCTTTTTATTAAAAGGGATCCTTACCGAGGACTCTCTTACCTTCACTATCTGCCTAAATAATTTCTTTCTAGCTCCTGTATCAATACCACAGAAATACAAAAAAAAAAAAAAAAATCAATGCTACTGTGAACACCTTTACATGCTTAAACTGGAAAACCTAGAGGAGATAGATACATTTTGGGAAATATAAAACCCTCCTAGATTAAACCAGGAATATATAGAATGTCTGAACAGACCAATAACAAGCAGTACGATTTAAATAGTAATTACAAATTGCCAACAAACAAAGTCGAGGACCACTGTGATTCACAGCTGAATTCTATCAAACATTCGAAAAAGAATTGGTACTGATCCTATTGACACTATTCCAAAGGATAAAGAGAGAATCCTCCCTAAATCATTCTATAAAGCCAGTATTACCCTAATACCAAAACCAGGGAAGGACATAACCAAAAAAGAAAAGTACACACCAATATCCCTGATGAACATAGATGCAAATCTCCTCAACAAAATACTACCAAACTGAATCCAATAGCATATCAAAAAGATAATCCACCATGATCAAGTGGGTTTCATACCAGGAATGCAGGGATGGTTTAACATACATAGTCAATAAATGTGATACACCACATAAACAGAATTAAAAACAAAAATAACATGATCATCTCAGTAGACACAGAAAAGCATTTGAAAAAATCTAGCATCCCTTTATGATCAAAACTCTCAGCAAAATTGGCATAGAAAGGGCATACCTTATGGAATATTGACTGTGGGCTTGTCATAGATGGCAATTTCACTACTAGGTAACCACACAGAGGAAAAGAAGTCATTATACGAAAAAGATAATTACACAAAAATGTTTACAGTGGCACAGTTTGCAATTGCAAAAATACAGAACCAGCCCAAATGCCCACAAATCAATTAGTGGATAAAGAAAATATGGTACATACATACCATGGAATACTACTCAGCCATAAAAAGGAATGAAATAATGACATTTGCAGCAACTTGGATGGAATTGGAGACTATTTTTCTAAGTAAAGTGACTCAGGAATAGAAAACCAAACATTGTATGTTCTCATTAATATGTGGGAGCTAATCTATAAGGACACAAAGGCATAAGAATAATACATTGGACTTTGGGGACTCAGGGGAATGGGTAGGGAATGGCAAAGGATAAAAGACTACACATTGGGTACAGTTTACACTGCTTGGGTAATGGGTGCATCAAAATCTCAGAAATCACCAATAAAAAATTATTAATGGCACCAAACACCACCTGTTCCCACAAAAACCTTTTGAAATAAAAAAAATTTAAAAAAAAAACAAAATCCTAATTCTGCCCCCCCAACAGAATAGACCCTCCTCTTGGCCAAAGGGAATCCCCAACAAACACCTAAAAAACTAGTTCTGGCCATAACAGGAAGCTGGATGTCAGACATGCCTCACTATACCTTTCCCCCACCTTGCAATTCAAGGACAACTGACCAGCATTAACATTAAAACAGAAATTATAAGACTGACAGAACAGACAATCTCAACAAAATATCAAATTGTAAACAGGATATAAGACCATGCCAGGCAAGATTAAGTCTCCACCCCAAGGTAAACAGATTCATATATTACATGCATGTTTGTTCAATATATATGTGTAAGGACCAATTCCATAAATATTCATAGCTCCTCTGTTCAACCAAAAGACTTAGCCTTATAAAAATCTTGAAAAGAAGGATACTCTGAAGATCAATCAAAATTGAAGAGTCTCTCCATTGCTATTAAACTTTGAGGAACCACTAGCTGAGTATACTTGTCCAAGATTAAGCCTGTTTCTTATGCGTCCACATAGGTACCTGAGAAAGACACCACGACCTACACTTGTGAACCCCTAGAAGACCTAAATCTGTTGTTTTGCAAATAAACAGATAAGTAACATCCTTAATCCCTCCTACAGGTACTCAACCGTCTTGACAACTCTCATTCCAAACAGGTTTGCACCCCCAATGGATACCTATGGCAATGTTGTCACCTATTCAATCAGCCTATAACTTGTTTCTCATTTGGGATTATTAAACCCATGGTTACCAGTGTATTGATAACATTTGGTTCAGGGGTTAATGTACAATAAAACAAGCAAAGCCCTCTAATATACAATTATATAACATCACTTATCTGGGTGTTAAGTAGGCAATCAACCTTAAATTGGCTGGGATTGAGGCTGCCATTGGTTTATTGGCCCCATGGGTAAAATTTGCCTATCACGAGGCAACTCTTCAAAACTTTATTTCTTCATCCTACACAATGTCTCATAAAACGGGGATACTTTAGATAAATTAAAACTTTCCCATCATTCCTTAGCAGATACAGCAATGAATAATAAATTAGCACTAGATTACTTATTGGTTGAAAAAGGGGAGCATGCACTATGATCTTTAAAACCTGCTGCACTTGTATAAACACCTCAGGTCAAATAGAAGACAGTATACAGAGAATATATGAACAAACTGCTTGGTTGTATACATACATAACCAAGGCACCAATCTCAACTCTATCTTATCAACCATTAAAAGCACCCTCCCAAGTCTCATTTGGCTTTTGCCCTTCCTAGGACCATTAATAGCTATCTTGTTATTACTAATATTTGGCTCTTACTTTACCTCTTGGTAAAGTTTGTGTCTTCTAGAATACAACAATTATATATAAAGATAATGCTGGCACAAGGCTTCCTATCCATCCCATCATCGGACACAGAAAATAAAGTTATCCCACCTTTAGGCCCCTTAGAGCAGGCAACCAGAGATTTTTTAATCCTCCAATACTAGGCAGGGCCTATGTCTATAGAATCATCAGGACATCACATGCGAAAGGACTTCCCCTGGCTCCCCGAGGTTAATTGCAAACCCTTATGAGAGAATCCTATCACAGAGATCAACGTACACTGTCAGCAGAAAGAAGGTACAGAATGACCTTGGCCCTTCATCTCTCCCTAAGATTAAGGGTTCTCTCATAAGTAGAGAAGGGATTATGTTAGGAAAACAGGAGCATCGGGGAGCCAGGGTGACACCATTTAAAAATCAACTCCATCTTAAAGCTAGCAAGGTACATTCCTTGCCAGTCATGACCCACGGGTCATAAGATGCTGATAGCTAACAAAGTAGTTTGGAAATGGTTGTGAGGATGAACTCCTAAAAAAGCAGAATGTCTAGATGTTCTGATACTGTATGACAACATATGCTATAGTTATAGTCATGCTTTGATGTATTCATACACTACAAGGCAAAGAAGACTTTCTTTAAATCAGCAAAGTACTAAATTTTGTCATACTGTCAGCTCACTTAAACACAGACATAACTTAGCTTAGCTTTTGCATTGGTAAGACCCCTATATAAAAAATGTTTAAAACAAAGCTGGCACATTTCTCCTCTTGCTTTATGAGGAATCCCTACTCTGTAACTGAGTAGCTTTCAATAAAATATCTCTTTCTTTCTGCACTCTGTCACTTTCCTTGAATTCCTCTATTGGGGTCTGAATTGGGACCCCTTTTTTTCAGCAACACTTTTACCCTTCCTGATATATGCAATACTGATAGGAAGAGAACAACCAAAACAACAAAACAAACATCAATAACAACCTGGAGAGTCTTATATTATCCTTCAATATATCTGTGATTTATGAGTGTTTGTACTACACTGAATCTCTCTGGCCAAGACCAAGGAGGTTTTGAAACTGGGTTTTGAGGTCCTCTCAGTTTGTTCATCCCAGTTGCAGGAATCTGAATAAACCTCCTCCCATATTGGAGAAGCCTACCTATTTCCTTTTTCTTTTTGAAGGGAATTTCAATTATATCATATATTGAATCCTTTTTCCACCCTGTACTCTACAGTAAAATTATTTTTTAATGAAAAGGAAAACTTTTGGTATTTATATTTTTGTATTTTAAAAGCATTGACTTTTGAGCCTATCTTCTTGATGTGGACTCAGAAAATGATATTTTGGAACTAGAAGACTGACTATTGACTTTTTCATTTTGCATTCCTTCTTTAACAATTCAAATATTGACAAAAGAAGGATTGGGATTCTATTAAGTGGGTATCATTTTGAGAAAGAGATTTCCACTCTGGCTAAACGAGGAATGTTACATATAAGTAAGTGTAAATAAGAAAACCAACATGTGCCAGGCGCGGTGGCTCACGCCTGTAATCCCAGCACTTTGGGAGGCCGAGGCGGGCAGATCACGAGGTCAGGAGATTGAGACCATCCTAGCTAACACGGTGAAACCCCGTCTCTACTAAAAATACAAAAAATTAGCTGGGCGTGGTGGCAGGCGCCTGTGGTCCAGCTACTCGGGAGGCTGAGGCAGGAAAATGGCATGAACCTGGGAGGCAGAGCTTGCAGTGAGCCAAGATCACACCACTGCACTCCAGCCTGGGCAACAGCGAGACTGTGTCTCAAAAAGAAAAGAAAACCAACATGATTATATGTATAACATACACATATACATATGTTATCCATGACAAAAAAAGTCTTGGTTGAAACAATAAAATGACTAAATATTTCCAAGGAGGCTATAGGGACAGATGAATAGTAGGACAAGTATAAAGTTTTAGTGAAACCTTAAATTTTAAGATGTAAGCAGTTCAAAAGGCAATGAAGGAGATCAAAAAAAGATGTTCAAAACTAAAGAGAGACAGAAGAAAGAAGTGTGATAAAAAACTTGTTTTAAGAATAATTAATAATCTTAGTATAAAATATGGAAGAGAAGTACAATAAAAAATACTGCAAATTTATAGAATATTCATGGACTTGACAATATGTAAATGATCATATTCTCATAAATAGAGTTTTAGTGGAGTGGTTGTGGCAGAAATCAGACTGTAGTGTACTGAGAATTGCAAGAAAGATAAGAAAGAATGTGAATGTAGAAAATACTAAGACGCATGTTTTAAGAAACCAAAAGAGAAATGACAGTGATCAGAATGGGACATTTTAAATTAGGCCTATTTGTTGTTATTGCTGTTGCTTAAAGTGAGTAAGACTTGGGCATAGTTTTAGGAGAAAGGGAAGACCAAAAAAAAAAAACAAAAACAAAAAACAAACAAACAAAAAAAAAACCATGAGAGAGAAAGAGAGATAATTTATTAGATGAGATTCCTAATATGAGAAAGGTAGCAATCAAAAGTTATAATGGAATTGACCTTTACCTGGACTCATAGCCAATTCTATTCAATTGAAGATAAGAAGTGAACAGAAGATGTCGATGAAAATAATTGGGAGACAGTGAGTCTCACACAAAATGACATCAGTTTTCTCAATGAATTGAAGAAGGTGAAATTATCTTGATAAAGATTGCTTGAGTTCAAACTTTTTTGAGGTCTGGTGTCTTGCAGGAAACTGTATTTTGCAACCTGACTGCTTACTTAGATAGTAGAAATCTACAGACCTTACGTATGAAGCTGGGTGATGAAATCTATTATGAGTGCAGCAAATTTGAATTTAGGGGCAAATGCTGTATTTCACCTTAATGGAATAATTAGTTTTCAGCTAGATCTTCTAAAAAGTTTAGTATATATGTTTTGCCTAAGTAATCTAGCATCTACTTATCTGGCCATCCTCGATATGATTAGCAGCCCAGGCCCTAAATGCCTAACAGTATAGGAAAAGAAATCAGAACTATAACCTAGTTGATTCCATAGAAGAAAGGGTCTAATGGCCATCTCTTTGGGACAATGTATGGTAAAACATGATATATGCAGTTCATGTAACTGCTGTTGTGCATACTGATAGAAGAAATGCCTTTTCTCCTCTGACCACAATAAGGATCCAATTTCCCTGAGAGATCATACAATGTAGGAAAACTCTATCAACTACATTCTATATTGTTAGCATTTACCTTTTCTTGATGGACTTTGAGAAATTGTAACTCCTGCCTCCTCTGGCTGGCTTACCTCTCATCTTTCTTTGCTATTGTATAAGTTTAGGAGTTAATTACACTGCTTAATTGTGTATTATTTTAAGTTTTGCTCTTTTGAGTCTGATGGGTGTGACCTTTTTCTCCTAGCTTAAATTTTGGCCAAAGGTACTAACATTAGAAAAGTTCTGTTATACAATTTTAAAATGTTGCTCATAACAAGACTTCCAAATTTTGAAAAATTATGCAAAATTACCATGGGGTTTTATTTCCAGTATGCTTTAGACACAACGTACCATACCAATGAAAATGAGTTAATGATGATCATTATTTAATATTCTGTATTAAGTGTAGTTCATGTAAAGTGAGAGAAAATTGTTCAAACTTCTTCATGGTAGATTGGATTTATACACAGGGTTAAAATAGTTTTTTCAGCAGTAAAGCATCAATGTGTTTTTTACAATTTATTTTCTTAATTGACAAATAATAATTGCACATATTTATGGGGTACACAGTGTTGTTTCAGTATGTATAATGTATAGTGATCCAATCAGGGTGATTAGCCTATCCATCGGGTCAAACATTACTCATTTCTTTGTGTGGGAAATATTTAATATACTCTTTCTAGCTATTTGAAACTATATATTATTGTTAGCTATAGTCATCCTATGGCAGTATAGAAAACTAGCACTTATTCCACCTATCTAGATGTAATTTTATTTCCTTTAACAAATCTCTCTCTATTCCTCCCTTCTTTTACCTTCCTCAGCCTCTAGTATCCTCTTTTCTATCTATGAAATCAACTTTTTTTTTAGGTTCCACTTATAAGTGAGAACATTCAGTGCTTTCTGCTCCTGGCTTATTTCACTTAACATAATGTCCTCCCGTTCTATCAATGTTGATACAAATTATAGGCTTTTATTATTTTACAGCTAATAATTTATAAAGTATACATACCATATTTTATTTATAAATTATTTTGTTTTTGGAAACCTAGGTTGATTCTATATCTTGGCTACTAATGCTGCAATAAACACAGGGGTGCAGATGTCTCTTAGGTATAATGATTTCCTTTTTTGGATAAATGCTCATTAGTGGGATTGCTAAATCACATGCAGTTATATTTATAGTTTATTGAGTAATATCTATATTCTTCTCCATAGTCCTGTGCTAGTTTACATTCCCACCAACAGTTTATATGAGTTTCTTTATCTCTGCATCCTCATAAGGATTTGGTAGAAACTAGACTTTGACTATGGGTCATCAAGTCACCATGCAACCTGAACTGCCTATCATGAGCTGTGTTCTTTCTGACCAATCTGGCCATAAAGTGGGGCATGCACAGCAGCATTTCATCATCAAATGGAAGTGGTATATACATAACTGGGCTTAAGCAGGTCCTGAAGGCACAAGCAAGTTACATGAGGAAGTGGTTCAACTGCCCATGGGTCTCCATTCCTGTCACCCTGTCTTCTCTCCCCCAGCCTGCACCAATGATCTCATGGGAAGTTCCCTATGATCAATTGACAGAGAAAGAGAAGACCAGGGCCTGGTTTACAGATGGTTCTGCATGATATGCAGGCACCACTTCAAAAGTGGAAAGCTGCAGCACAATAGCCACTTTCTAGGACACCCCTGGACAGTGGCAAAGGGAAATCATCCCAGTGGGCAGAACTTCAAGAAGTGCCCCTGGTTGTGCACGTTGCTTGGAAGGAGAAATGACCAGATGTGTGATTATATACTGACTCATGGGCTGTAGCCAGTGATTTGGCTGGATAATCAGGGATTTGTATAAAAGCATTATTGAAAATTTGTTAACAAAGAAATTTGGGGAAGAGGTATGTAGACGGACCTTTATGAGTAGTCAAAACCTGTGAAGATATTTATATCCCATGTGAGTACTCAACAAAAGTTGACCTCAGCAGAAGAGAATTTTAATCATCAAGTCGATAGAATGAATCATTCTTGGACACCACTCAGCCTCTTTCCTTAGCCACCTCTGTCATTGCCCAATAGGCCCCTGAACACAGTGGCCATGGTGGCAGGAATGGAGGTTACACATTGGCTCAGCAACATGGACTTCAACTAACCAAGGTGGACATGGCTACAGCCACCACTGAGTACCATTTGTCAGGAGCAGAGACCAACACTGAGCCCTCAATATAGTACCATTCCTCAGGGTGATCAGCCAGCTACTTGGTGGCAGGTTGATTATACTGAACCTCTTCCATCATGGAAAGGGTAGTGGTTTGTCCTCAACAAAATAGACATTTACTCTGGATATGGGTTTGAATATCCTGCATGCAATGGTTCTGCCAAGACTGCCATCCATAAACTCATGAAATGCCTTATCCACCATCATGGTATTCCACACAGCATTGCCTCTGACCAAGGCACTCACTTTACAGCTAAAGAAGTGCAGCAGTGGGCTCATGCTCATGGAATTCACTGGTTTTACCTTGTTCCCTATCATCCTGAAGCAGCTGGATTGATAGAATGGTGAAATGGCCTTTTTAAGTCACAATTACAATGCCAACTAGGTGACAATACCTTGCAGGGCTGGGGCAAAGTTCTCCAGAAAGCTGTGTATTCTCTGAACTAGTGTCCAATATATGGTACTGTTTCCTCCCATAGCCAAGATTCACAGGTCAAGGAATCAAGGGGTGGAAGTGGCACCACTCATCATCTCCCCTAGTGACCCACTAGCAAAATTCCTGCTTCCTGTTCCTGCGACATTACATTCTGCTGGCCTAGAGGTCTTAGTTCCAGAGGGAGGAATACTGCCACCAGGACACACAACAATGATTCCATTAAACTGGATGTTAAGATTACCACCTGGCCACTTTGAGCTCCTCCTACCTTTAAGTCAACAGGCTAAGAAGGGAGTTACAGTGTTGGCTTAGTTGATTGACCCAGAATATCAAAATGAAATCAGTCTACTACTCCACAATTGAGGTATGGAAGACTATGCGTGGAATAGAGAAAATCCCTTAAGGCATCTCTTAGTATAACCATGCCCTGTGATTAAGGTCAATGGGAAACTGAAACAACCCAATCCAGGTAGGACTACAAATGGCCCAGATCCTTCAGGAATGAAGGTTTGGGTCACTCCACCAGATAAAAAAACCATGACCCACTGAGGTGCTTACTGAAGGCAAAAGGAATTCAGAATGGGCAGTAGAAGAAGGTAGTCAACAATACCAGTTATGATCATGTGACCAGTTGCAGAAACAAGGACTGTAAATGTCATAAGTATTTCCTCCTTATTTTGTTAAGAACATATTTGTGCATGTATACACTTGTATTACAAAACTATCATCAAAAGATCCTCTATTAGTAAGAGCCTGTATTAGATCCCGTATTCTACACTTGTAAGAAAATATTATATCTTCATCTTATTTTTCCTTTATTATGTGACATAAGATTTATTGACTTCTTATCAGCATTTAAGTGTTAACTTTATGTAATAGCATTTAGGTTAAGGATTAGTGCGCTTCCATTTGCAGAAAGGATAGCTGTATTGTGTTAGGCATAATTATGACCTTATCATTGTCTTTATTTGAAGATTATGTATGATTTCAGGAGATGGTGTTTGGGTTCAAGTTGACAAGGGGTGAACTTGTGATCGTTAATATTGAGTGTCAACTTGATTAGATTGAAGGATGCAAAGGATTGTTCCTGGATGTGTCTGTGAGGGTGCTGCCAAAGGACATTAACATTTGAGTCAGTGGACTGGGAGAGGCAGACCCACCCTCAATCTAGGTGGGGACCATCTAATCAGCTGCCAGTGTGACTAGAATAATGCAGGCAGAAGAAAATGGAATGAGGAGACTTGCTGAGTCGTCCAGCCTTCATCTTTCTCCCTTGCTGGATGCTTCCTGTACTCGAACATAAGGCTCCAAGTTCTTCAGCTTTTGGACCCTTGGACTTACACCAGTGATTTGCCAGAAGCTCTCAGGCCTTTGAACACAGACTGAAGACTGCACTGTCAGCTTCCATACTTTTGAGGTTTTAGGACTGGGACTGGTTTTCTTGCTCCTCAGCTTGCAGAGGGCCTATTGTGGAACTTCACCTTGTGATCCTGTGAGTCAATTCTCCTAATAAACTCCCCTTCACATATATGTATACATATACGTATAGTCTGTCCCTTTAGAGAACGCTGACTAATACAGGATCTTCTGATATTTCCTTCACAATAGGAAGTTCCTCCTAACTTCACATCCAACCTTGGTCAAGGAGAAAAGGCTGCAGAGGCTGGATGCCACCATGCTGTCCTCCTTGACTTCCAGTTACCACAGAAGTGTCTCCACTTTCCCACTGCACTCTGGTGCTCTCCCTTCAACACTCCAGTCAAATGTTAGCTGCTTATTTATTGCTTTGATTTTCTTTTCCTGTGGGGGAGAAATATGCCAGGTGTCTCTAGTCAGCCATCTTGCTGATATCCATGAATGTGTTTTGTAACAATTATTGAAAACTTCAATTCCATACAGTAAAAAACAAAATTCAGTTTTCCACAAGCTTAACATTACTCAATTATTTTGGTGTTTATATTAACTTTTATTTTCTAGAATATATAGGATACTTCCATTCTCAATTCAGAATGTTTTCTTTTTAAAATTTTTCTCGCTCGCCTATTATTTGTAAGGTCTTTTGCCTAGCACATTTTGCTTAGGCTGTTTTTCTACTAGAAGCTTTTTATGTTTGTTTGTTTTGACTTCTCTGTTTAGATTGTCCCAAGTATTATTTTTCTTTAAACATTGATCTCAAATATTTTTCCCAACGTTGTTTTTAAATTGTGCTAGCTTGTCCAACTTGGTATCATTCATTTGCGTGCTGTAGCACTGTGAGTAGAGCATTTCCATTACGCCATGCTACCATACGCATTCTGGTTTCTTAGCATATGCAATAGGGTAAGACATTGCATTGACTTCTATTTTTACGTTTTGTGAAATTTTGCCAGTGGGTTTTCCTTTCTCTTTAGCACATGCAAAGATCTTAAGGAGATAAAACTTGCAAGATAAAAGGGTTTGAATTATGTAAAATCAGTGTAGTGATTAGATGTACTAAATCCCATCTGAACCCAAACCAATATGTTTTACATTAGACATTCTCTTTTGCTAATAATATGCATAAAAGAAGCCCTGAATTTATCTTATTACCACCCCATAATTTAGTTTTTAAATTGCACCAGTATCTGTCATTAAAATGAAAGCTTATTAGGGTTTCAAAGGAATATTATCATGTCATGCTTTGAAACAGTAACTAAGCATCTCCCTATGTACCAAACTATCTGAAATTAAGAACCACATATGAATATTCCACATTATAAAATAATTTTGAAGATGCCATTCATTTAGTGTACATATACAATATACATGCACACGTATTTATCTGTTTATTTATTTATGTATTTATTTATTTTTGAGATGGAGTCTCACTCTGTCACCCAGGCTGGAGTGCAGTGGCACGATCTCGGCTCAGTGCAACCTCAGCCTCCTGGATTCAAGCAATTCTCCTGCCTCAGCCTCCTGAGTAACTGGGATTACAGGCGCTTGCCACCATGCCTGGCTAATTTGTTGTATTTTTAGTAGAGATGATGTGTCACCATGTTGGCCAGGCTGGTTACGAACTCCTGACGTCAAGTGATCCATCTGCCTCAACCTCCCAAAGTGCTAGGTTTATAGGCGTGAGCCACCGTGCCCAGCCTGTATTTAGATTGTCATAATATATAGTTACCTGTTTAAAATTTTAGTCTGATATCAGGATAATGCTGTATAATTTGTTAACATTTGCCATTAAAATGTCAGGCTGGGGCTGTGTATAGTGGCACAAACTTGTAATCACAGCAATTTGGGAGGCCAAGGCACGAGGATTACTTGAGCCCAAGAGATTGAGACCAATCTGGGAAACATAACAAAACCCCATCTCTACAAAAAATTTAAAAATTAACCAGACATGGTGGCATGTGCCTGTAGTCACAGCTACTTAGGAGACTGGGGCAAGAGGATTTCTTGAGCCCAAGAGGTCAAGGCTTCAATGTGTTATGATCATGCACAGCCCTCACACCTGGAAGAAAAGAGTGGGACCTTGACTCAAAATAAATAAATAAATAAATAAAATAAATAAAATAAATTTCAGGCTCAGAGGTACTATCCAACACAATCAAGCAAGAGAAAGAAATAAAAGATATTCAAATAGGAAGAGAAGAATTCAAACTATCTCCCTTTGCTGACGATATGATTCTATACATAAAAAATCCTAAAGATTCTGTCAAAAGGTTACTAGAACTGAAAAATGATTTAAAGAAAGCTTCAGGATACAAAAATAAATGTACAAAAACAGTAGCATTTCTATACACCAATAATGTCCATGCTGAGAGTCAAATCAAGAACACAATTCCATTTACAATAGCCAAAGGAAAATGAAATACCTAGGAATGAAGCTAAGAAAACAGGAGAAAGGTCTCTACAAGAAGTTTCTTCATATAATTAGAAAAAAACTTTTCTAAAATTCATATGAAACTGAAAAAGAGACTGAGCATCCAGAATATCACATTACCTGACTTCAAACTACACAATAAGGCAACAGTAACAAAACCAGCATTGTACTGGTACAAAAACAGTCACATAGATCAATTCAACAGAATAGAGAACTAAGAAATGAAACCATACTGCTTATAATAATCTGATCTTTAACAAAGTTGGCTAAAACAAGCAATGGGGAAAGGACTCCCTATTCAATAAATGGTGCTGGGATAACTGGCTAGCCATATGCAGAAGATTGACACTGGACCCCTGCCTTACACCATATACAAAAATTAACTCAAGATTGATTAAATATTTGAATGTAAGACCCCAAACTATAAAAATCCCAGAAAAAAACTAGAAAATACCCTTCTAACCATTAGACTTCACAATAATTTTGGCTAAGTCCCCAAAAGTAATTTCAACCAAGACAAAAATTCTCCAAATAAGACATATAAGTGGCCAACAAACACATTAAAAATTACTTAGCCTCACTAATCATCAAAAAAATGAAAATCAAAACCACAATGAGATACTATCTGTGATTAGAATGGTTACTATTAAAAAGTCAAAAAAGACAGATGCTAGTGAGGCTGCAGAGAAAAGGGAACACGTATACACTGTTGGTGGGAAGGTAAATGAGTTCAACCACTGTGGAAAGCAGCTTGGATATTTCTCAAAAAACTTAAAGCTACCATTCAACCCAGAAATCCCATGACTGGTTACATACCCTAGGGAAAAGAGATCATTGTACCAAAACAAAAAAATACATGTTCACTTGTATGTTCATCATTGCACTATTTAGAATAGCAAAAACATGGAATCAACTTAGGTGCCCATCAACGGTGGACTGGATAAAGAAAATTTGGTACATATATACCATGGAATACTACATGGCCATCAGAAAAGAATGAGATCATGTCCTTTGCAGCACCATAGATGGAGCCGGAGTCCATAATCCTAAGTGAATTAATGCAGGAACAGAAAACCAAATACCACATGTTCTCACTTATAAGTGGGAGCTCAACATTGAGCACACATGGACATAAACATGGGAACAACAGACACTGCAAACTACTAGAGAGGGGAGAGAGGAAAGGGAGCTTGTGTTGAAAAACTACCTTTTGGGTACTATGCTCACTACCTGGATGAAATTATACCGATTTAACAAATCTGCACATATACCCCCTGTATCTAAAATAAAAGTTGAATTCAAAAATAAAATGTTAGGCTGTGCTAATCCACAAAAGACAGCATATAAGTCATTTTTGAAAAGGTGTTATAAAAAATGTAAACTTTTAAAGCTATCAACAATGTTAATTATAATCAACATTTAGTTAAAAGACATATTTAACTATTCAGGAAAAAAAACAGAGCTATAAAAATTGGACACTGTATATTATATTAACATATAATATACATTCAGAAAAGTGGACAAACCACAATTGTATAACTCATTGAATTCTAAAAAGTGAAAACTCCTGGGTAACCACAACCTAAACCAGAAACAGAACATTAGCAGCACCCAGGAGCTTTGTTCATACTCCCTTGAAATTGCTGTCTTTTCTCCCTGCCACGCAAGGCTAAACATAGTGACTTCTCTCCACATACAATAATTTTGCCAGTTTTGAAGTTTATATAAATGTATTCACACATATAACATATGTGTGTACGTGTGTGTGTATGTATGTGTATGTGCATAAAATCTGGTCTCTTTAACTCAACATTAAATTTGTGAGATCCATCATTATTGTGTATAGATATAGTCCATTCAAGTTTCTATGTACAATTTTCATTTGATTAATAAGCCACAATATATTTTTCCTATTCTACTCTTGATGGAAATTTGACGTGTATTCAGTTTTAGGCTGTAAGAATAGTGCTACGATGAGCACTACTGTAAATATCTTTTTGTAAACATAAGTATGCATTTTTTAGTATATACCTATAAATAGAATTGCAGGTTCGTAGAATATGCATATATTTAGCTTTATTAGATACTACCAAATAGCCTTCCAAATTGAGTACATAAATTTATACTCCATTAGCGATGTGTGATGGTTCTAGTTGATGTCCATCAACACTAACAATTGGTATTGTCTTTTTTTTCCATCTTGGGAGCTCCAGTGAGTGTGAAGTTCTATTTTACATTTCCCTAAGGACTAATGCAGTTAATATGGTTTCATATGTTTATTAATCATAAGAAATTCTCTTTTGTCCTGTCCTCTTGAGTATTTTGCTCTTTTATTATTTGAGTATCTTTTCTTATTTGAGCATTAATTTCATTGAGTATTCATTTAAAATTAAATGAATTGTAGCATTTTATATGTTGTGGATATAGGGCATTTGTCAAATATACTAATTGCAAACATCTTCTTTTGTCTATGCCTTCCCTTATTTTCACAATAATAATTTTGATAAACAAGTTCTCAATTTAACATAATCCAGTAAATCTTTATTCCTTTATGGTTAGAACTTTATGTGTCTCATTGAATATATATTTGCCAGTCTCTAGTTCATGAGGATATTCCAATATTATTTCATATAAAAACTTTACTGTTATACTTTTGAATTTAGATCAACAATCCATCAGGAATTGATACTTGTGTGTGGTGTGAAGTCCCCCAAGATCAAGATTCCTTTTATTTCAACTGATTGGGCCCTATTTAATTAAAAGGAACTTCTTTTACCAAGGCCCTTCAGTATCACCTTTATCATAAATCAAGTGAGTCAATTTCTGAATTCTATTCTGCTCCAATTGTCTACTTTTTTAACCTTGCACCAAACCAAAGCATTTCGTCCTATGTACCAGCAATGAAAAATTTGAATTTGAAATTAAAACAAAAATACCATTTACATTAGATCCCCCAGAAATGAACCTAACAACATATGTCCAACATCTGAATGAGGAAAACGATGACATTCTGATGAATGAAGACAAAACATAAACTGAATAAATGGAGAGACAGTCCATGAATAGAAAGACTCAATATTGTCAAGTTGTCACTTCTTGCCAACTTTGTCTACAGATTCAACGCAATCTCAGACAAATTATTAGGAAGTTATTTCACTTATTTTGTAGATATTGATAAATTGATTCTAAGGTTTGTGTGTAGAGGCAAATGATATAGAATAGCCAATAAAATACTGAAGAAGAACAAATTTGGAGTAGTGACACTAACTGACTTCAAGATTTACTATAAAGCAACAATAATCAAGACAACGTGGTATTGGCAAAAGAATAAATGAACAAGTCAATGGAGCAGAATAGTTAGCCCACTAATAAACCTGAATACAGTCAACTAATATTTGACAAAGAAGGAAAAATAATAAAATAGACCAAAGATAATGTTTTAAACACATGGTGCTGGAATTATTGAACATCCACATGCAAATTAAGTCAGTGTGGTATTGTTAAAAAAGAGACAGATTAATAAAACAGAATAGAGCCCAGAAAGAAACCCACAGAAATTGTCAACTGATCTTTGACAAAGGAGAAAAAGCAATGCAATAGAGAAAAGATAGTGTTTTCAATAAATCATGTTGGATCAACTGGATATCCACATCCAAAAAAAAATGAACACATAGACACTACACCCTTCATAAAAATTAACTCAAAATCAATCACAGACCTAAATTTAAAACATAAAATTATAAAATTCCCAGAAGACAGCATAGAAGAAAATCCAGATGTCCTTGCATTTGCAAATATTTTTAGATATGAAGGCATAATCTATGAAAAAACTGGTAAGTTGAACTTCATAAAAATTTAAAACTTCTGCTCTGAAAAATATATCACCAAGAGAATGAGAAAACAAATCAGACTGAGAGAAAATATTTGCAAAAAAAAATATCTGATAAGGAGATGTCATCCAAAATATGCAAATAATACTTAAAACAACTATTTAAAGAGAACAACTTGATTTAAAAGATGGGCAAAATATCTGAACAGAGATCTCACTAAAATCGACATACAGATGTCAAATTAGCATATGCCAAGATGTTCAACATTATATGTCATTAAGGAATGACATGTTAAAATTACGATAATATACCACTATACACCTGTAGAATAACCAAAATCCAGAACACCAACACCAAATGTTGTCTGGGATGTTGAGCAACAAGAACTCTCATTCATCACTGATGGGAATGCAGAATATTGCAGCCACTTTGGACGACTGTTTGGCAGTTTCTTTCAAAACGAAACATACTCTTGCCATGTCATCCAGCAACCAGACTCCTTGGTATTGACTCAAGTGAGTTGAAAACTTATGTCCACAGAAGAACCTGCACATGAATGTTTATAGCAGTTTGTTCATAATTGCCAAAACTTGGAAGCAACTAAGGTGTCTTTCAGTAGGTGAATGGATAGGTAAACTATGGTATGTTCAGACAATGCAGTATTATTCAGTACTAAAAAGAAATGAGTTATCTCCATGAAAAAACAGGGAGAAAACAAATTAATATTGCTAAGTAAAACTAGTCAATTGTGAAGTCTATATACTGCATTATTCCAGACGAATGACATTTTGAAAAAGGCAAACCTGTGAAGACAGTAAAAAGATCAGCGGTTTGCCAGAGTTACGGGGAGGGAGGGATAATAATGAAGCTCAGAGGGTTTTTAGGGCACTGACAGAATTCTGTAGATCATAATGGTGAATATGTGTCATTAGACATTTGGGTAAATTGCTCACCTTTGTATCCCAAGAAAACTTGGGGCTCCTGGGCCTGTCAGAAAGTGGCATTCTTTACTTACCACCGGTTAGGAACCTGTACAGGAACTGTGTAGACAAGGTATGGGGCCAGTTTTCCCAATGGGCTTTTATTGGCTCTATAAGTCAACTTTGATTCCTTAAAGGAGTCTGTATCTGAAAGCATGCCATTCCAGTCAAAACCTTGATAAAATAACCAGTGTCTCCAATTGTGCCCTGTTATAAAAGATTCTTACTGCACTTATGCAAATAACTTTGTTGCCATAAGTTAAGAACACACACTAGTTTCCAAATGTTGGAGAAATCAGATAGAGGTAAATATGCTCCATATTTTATTAATAGGAGTGTATTTTACTCAATTGTTAAAAGCTATAAATAGCTCAAAAGAAAAGTTTTCTTGGCTCTGACAAAAGATCAGCAACATTTTAAGCAAAACATCATAAAAGGATTTATTTCAGTCTTCTATTAGTTTAGTCCATGCAGTTAACTCCTGTTATGCCTGATATTCATGAACATTACAGCTCTCCATGGGAGACTTGGAAGTTCTTCCTCTATTCTCGTGTTATCAGAAACTGCAGATCTCCAAAGTTATCAGAAACCTGCATTCAAGAGCACCTGTCAGAGTCCTATGCTGATTATAAAACCACCTTTTCAAAGGGATAAAAGTAAAACAACTGTGGATGATAAGACTTAGAACAGTCACAGTTAAAGACACAATTGACAAGGAAGGTTGGTTACTTCTGTGGCATAAAACAATTTTACATAATAACCATAATTTCTACTGATAACATACACTAAGACATATCAGAATTACAGGAATTCCATATAATTCTGGAACACATAGTAATAACACATTTATATAAATACAATCCAAAGAAGGTTAAACACTTTTCATATTTGACAATACTTCCTGTATGATTTTATTATATCAAATAAGCTGAATATGTCCCTTTTGAACTTCAGGGAACTAATATAAAAAAATGATGAGGACCAAAGTTAGAATTTGACTTTGGAAAGTTTGTCAAATATAAAAATTTAAAACATAAGATGTCACAAAATAGGATCACAGGTCATTGTAAAATAAGTCATTAATTCAGCCAAAGTGATAACTCAAAGATTTTAAAAAAAAAAAAGGCAAAAACCTTTATTCTTTGAGAGACAGTTAATTTCCCCAACAATAAGCCCTAATAAAGATAGTATGAGGCCATTTAAATTTGTTTTTCAAAATTTTATAAACAATCTATAAAATTTTAATCATCTTGACCATAAGATATAGTTTCCAAAAGCCTTTTTGTAACCTTTACAACCTTTCATTAAGGAGTGGGTTAATGCTATAAGAAAACCGTGTTAATCTGACACATGGGGCCCATATACTGGTCTTGGGTCAGTGTGCGTTTGAGGTTAATGATTAATTTGTAGAGAAACCAAACATACTTTATCTCTCAAAACTGGCCCTTACAATCTCACGTGCCCACCACTTCTGCAATAGTTCCAGGGCCTTGAGTTGAATAGTTTTAATTTCTGGCCCTGTGTCTCACGAATTCAGTCTATCTTGATTGGCATTTTCTACCAGGTATTAAGATGAAGTTTTAACTGCTGTCAGTGTTTAAGATTTAGTAGGACTTTGGGTGCTTTTTAGACTCAGGATGCAAACCCCTTTATCAATGGTATGAGAATTTTGAAACCATATACACAAAGTTACACAGATGTAATAACCTTTAAGTTTTTAAATCTTTTTTTTCTAAGCAAACCCAAACTTATTAATAATGACATAGGAATTATTTTGGTGAAGTGTAAAATCTCTTTATTAGGACAATTACTCAAAGGCAAAAGAAAAGACCTTTGGCTGGTCCCTATGGGTAGTCAATTTAGATAAAGAAAACAGATCCAGTTTCAGCTTTCTACATATGGCTAGCCAGTTTTCCCAGCACCATTTATTAAATAGGGAATCCTTTCCCCATTGCTTGTTTTTCTCAGGTTTGTCAAAGATCAGATAGTTGTAGATATGCGGTGTTATTTCTGAGGGCTCTGTTCTGTTCCATTGATCTATATCTCTGTTTTGGTACCAGTACCATGCTGTTTTGGTTACTGTAGCCTTGTAGTATAGTTTGAAGTCAGGTAGTGTGATGCCTCCAGCTTTGCTCTTTTGGCTTAGGATTGACTTGGCGATGTGGGCTCTTTTTTGGTTCCATATGAACTTTAAAGTAGTTTTTTCCAATTCTGTGAAGAAAGGCATTGGTAGCTTGATGGGGATGGCATTGAATCTGTAAATTACCTTGGGCAGTATGGCCATTTTCACGATATTGATTCTTCCTACCCATGAGCATGGAATGTTCTTCCATTTGTTTGTATCCTCTTTTATTTCATTGAGCAGTGGTTTGTAGTTCTTGAAGAGGTCCTTCACATCCCTTGTAAGTTGGATTCCTAGGTATTTTATTCTCTTTGAAGCAATTGTGAATGGGAGTTCACTCATGATTTGGCTCTCTGTTTGTCTGTTGTTGGTGTATAAGAATGCTTGTGATTTTTGTACATTGATTTTGCATCCTGAGACTTTGCTGAAGTTGCTTATCAGCTTAAGGAGATTTTGGGCTGAGACAATGGGGTTTTCTAGACACACAATCATGTCGTCTGCAAACAGGGACAATTTGACTTTGTCTTTTCCTAATTGAATACCCTTTATTTCCATCTCCTGCCTAATTGCCCTGGCCAGAACTTCCAACACTATGTTGAATAGGAGTGGTGAGAGAGGGCATCCATGTCTTGTGCCAGTTTTCAAAGGGAATGCTTCCAGTTTTTGCCCATTCAGTATGATATTGGCTGTGGGTTTGTCATAGATAGCTCTTATTATTTTGAAATACGTCCCATCAATACCTAATTTATTGAGAGTTTTTAGCATGAAGGGCTGTTGAATTTTGTCAAAGGCCTTTTCTGCATCTATTGAGATAATCATGTGGTTTTTGTCTTTGGCTCTGTTTATATGCTGGATTATGTTTATTGATTTGCGTATTTTGAAGCAGCCTTGCATCCCAGGGATGAAGCCCACTTGATCATGGTGGATAAGTTTTTTGATGTGCTGCTGGATTCGTTTTGCCAGTATTTTATTGAGGATTTTTGCATCAATGTTCATCAAGGATATTGGTCTAAAATTCTCTTTTTTGGTTGTGTCTCTGCCCGGCTTTGGTATCAGAATGATGCTGGCCTCATAAAATGAGTTAGGGAGGATTCCCTTTTTCTATTGATTGGAATAGTTTCAGAAGGAATGGTACCAGTTCCTCCTTGTACCTCTGGTAGAATTCGGCTGTGAATCCATCTGGTCCTGGACTCTTTTTGGTTGGTAAGCTATTGATTATTGCCACAATTTCAGATCCTGTTATTGGTCTATTCAGAGATTCAACTTCTTCCTGGTTTAGTCTTGGGAGAGTGTATGTGTTGAGGAATTTATCCATTTGTTCTAGATTTTCTAGTTTATTTGCGTAGAGGTGTTTGTAGTATTCTCTGATGGTAGTTTGTATTTCTGTGGGATCAGTGGTGATATCCCCTTTATCATTTTTTATTGCATCTATTTGATTCTTCTCTCTTTTTTTCTTTATTAGTCTTGCTAGTGGTCTATCTATTTTGTTGATCCTTCCTTACACCTTATACAAAAATCAATTCAAGATGGATTAAAGACTTAAATGTTAGACCTAAAACCATAAATACCCTAGAAGAAAACCTAGTCATTACCATTCAGGACATAGGCATGGGCAAGGACTTCATGTCCAAAACACCAAAAGCAATGGCAACAAAAGCCAACATTGACAAATGGGATCTAATTAAACTAAAAAGCTTCTGCACAGCAAAAGAAACTACTATCAGAGTGAACAGGCAACCTACAAAATGGGAGAAAATGTTTGCAACCTACTCATCTGACAAAGGGCTAATATCCAGAATCTACAATGAACTCAAACAAATTTACAAGAAAAAAACAAACAACCCCATCAAAAAGTGGGCAAAGGACATGAACAGACACTTCTCAAAAGAAGACATTTATGCAGCCAAAAGACACATGAAAAAATGCTCATCATCACTGGCCATCAGAGAAATGCAAATCAAAACCACAATGAGATACCATCTCACACCAGTTAGAATGGCAATCATTAAAAAGTCAGGAAACAACAGGTGCTGGAGAGGATGTGGAGAAATAGGAACACTTTTACACTGTTGGTGGGACTGTAAACTAGTTCAACCATTGTGGAAGTCAGTGTGGCGATTCCTCAGGGATCTAGAACTAGAAATACCATTTGACCCAGCCATCCCATTACTGGGTATATACCCAAAGGACTATAAATCATGCTGCTATAAAGACACATGCACACGTATGTTTACTGCGGCACTATTCACAATAGCAAAGACTTGGAACCAACCCAAATGTCCAACAATGATAGACTGGATTAAGAAAATGTGGCACATATACACCATGGAATACTATGCAGCCATAAAAAATGATGAGTTCATGTCCTTTGTAGGGACATGGATGAAATTGGAAATCATCATTCTCAGTAAACTATCGCAAGAACAAAAAACCAAACGCCGCATATTCTCACTCATAGGTGGGAATTGAACAATGAGATCACATGGACACAGGAAGGGGAACATCACACTCTGGGGACTGTTGTGGGGTGGGGGGAGTGGGGAGGGATAGCATTGGGAGATATACCTAATGCTAGATGACGAGTTAGTGGGTGCAGCGCACCAGCGTGGCACATGTATACATATTTAACTAACCTGCACAATGTGCACATGTACCCTAAAACTTAAAGTATAATAATAAAAGAAAAAAAAAGATAAAGAAAACAGAACCCCCAAAACGGAGTGAGTGTCATTATTTGCTCTGAGCTCTTCAAGGGGTTTTAGTCATTAGAAACCTTCTCTAGATTTTTCTTGGTACCGAAGATGGTGAAGGGGGAAGGAGGAATAGGGTGGAAGAAAAGTAAATGAAAGATCATTTTTTTAAAGACGGGAAGCAAACACAGAAGCCAAACACATGGTTTTGTTATTTTGTTTTTGTTTTCTTCTTTCCTTTTTGCAGCTGAAGGAATTTTAGCCAATTCAGAAAGGCCTTGTTTCCCATAATTTTGAGTTATCATTCGGATTTGACCAATTCAGGTAGAGTTGGTCAAATCTGATGGGAGAAAGACCTGAAAAACCAACAACAAAAAACCCCACAATATGATTACCAAGCACTCTAATGGTAAGGAGAAATTAAGCTACACTGTTACCGGTGGAAGAAATCCGTGTTATCAGCGGTGAATCTGTATAGATCGGCTGCAACCTCAATTCTTGCCTCCTCAGAAGAAAGAATATGAATGAGGGGCATAAGGCAGAAGAGGCCTAGGCAAGTTTCAGAGCAGGAGTAGAAGTTTATTAAAGGAAGGAAAGGAAAGAAAAAAAGAATAGTATAACTTTCAAGCGGCTGACTTGAGAAACCAAGTGCTCAGCCTGACCTCTTGACTTCGGGTTTTATACATTGCCATACTTCTGAGATCTTAGATTACTTCTCTGCACTCCTGAGATCTTATTGGGAAGTTTCTGATCAGTTTCAGGTGTGTTCTATCTACTAGGAGACTGCCTTTCCCTGGCACTGGCTGTGACCAATTATTACTTTAGAGAAACAGTTAAAAACCACCTGACTGTCAACCTGATGGTCTCCCAACACTCCTGGTGTGTGTGTGGGTAGTTCTCCTCTGCCCTTTTCATACCTGAGTAACTATCTACTGTAATAAGATGACTAAGAATTGTAACTTTAGCCAATATGAAGCTCCAATTCAACTACTTAACTAGGAGTGGGTCTCAGGCTGAAGACTGCTTTCTACCATTCTAGAAGCAGGAAAAAACTCAAACTCACCTTCCTTCCCTGTTGGAAGTGAGCTCAAACTACAGAAAGGTGTTAACTGCCTTCCATTGTCATGGAAGCAGGAAAACTTGCCTTCCTAGTTGGAAGCAAGTAAAACTCCAGAAAAAAGAATTGTACAGCAAAATAGTTTTTGATCTCAACCAAATTTTGGAAGATCAGGGGTTATCTGGAGGGAGAGGAGCTCCCAGCCCTCAGAAAATTGTCCTATTGGGTTTGAGCCATAAAGATAGCTCAAGCTGGTAGCAAGCCCTGATAGATTTGTCAAAGGTCAAGGCCACCTCCACTCAATGTCCACTCATGGTTACTAAAAGTGAACCCCAAATATCTGAGACAGGTCTCGATTTAGAAAGTTTATTTTGCCAAGGTTAAGAATACCCACATGGCACAGCCTCAGGAGGTCCTGATGCCATGTTCCCAAGGCGATAGAGGCACAGCTTGGCTTTATACATTTTAGGGAGACATGAGACGTCAATCCGTATATGTAATATGTACATTGATTTGGTCTGGAAAGGCAAGACAACTCAAAAAGGGGAGGGTGCTTCCAGGTTATAGGTGGATGAGAGAAAAACGGTTTCATTCTTTTGAGTTTCTGATTAGCCTTTCACTGAATGTGCAATTTATAGGAATAGTCACTTATGCATTAGTCTGGCTTAGTGAAGCAATAGGTCAATGGAAACAATCAGATACGCGGTTGTCTCATGTGAGCAGAAGGATGACACTGAGTTCTGTGTGTCTGTTGTTCACAAGGAATTTCCTATGGGCAAATTGCGAGGAAGGTATGTAGATTTTTTTAATCTTTACGCTATCTTATTTAGGAATAGAATGGGAGGCAGGTTTGCCTAACGCAGTTAACAGCTTGACTTTTCCCTTTGGCTTAGTGATTTTGGGGAGACTTATTTTCCTTTCAAAAAACCAATAAAATATACAATACTAGGGCTGAACCCTAATATAAGCAACTATGGACTTTGGATGATAATGATGTGTCAGTGTAGGTTTATTGATTGTAACAAATATACCACTCTGATGTAAGATGTTGATAATGAGGAAGTTTGTCTTGGGGATGGGTATCAGAAGGGATATGGGAATTCTCTATATTTTCTGCTTAATTTTTCCATGAACTGCCAGCAAATATACATTTTTTTTAAAAAAATCAGCATTTTCTGTAGCTTTATAATAAATTTTGATACCTTGTAGTATAAGTTTTCCAACTTTGTTATTTCTTGTTTGAGATTGCCTTGTCTAATCTTGGCCTTAGTAATTTCATTTCAATTTTGAAATTATCTCTTCAATTTTAGTAACATAATCATGTAGGATTTTGAATATACTTTCCATTTAATCTACAGATCAATTTTGGGAGAGTTGACATAATGAAAATATTTTGTCTTAAATCCATGAGTATAGTAAATCTTTCCATTTATGTATGTATTCTTTAATTTATCTCATTAATGTTTGTCATTTTCAGAATAAAAGGGTTGCATGTGTTTTGTGGTTTTCTTTATATGTTATGGATTTTGCTGTTATAAATCATTATTCTTGATTTTTCAATTTTGTTTTTGTTTGTATATAGAAATACAATTCATTTTTAACTATTGATCTAATATAGGGTTCCTTGCTAAATTTACACATTAATCTTATTTGTTGTATGTTATTTTAGATTTATTATTTTTTATTTTTAATTATTATGGATACATAATAGTTGTACATATTTATGAGATACATACTGTATTTTGATATAAGCATACAACGTGTAATGTCAAATAATGGTAATTGGTATATCCATCACCATAAGCATTTATCACTTCTTTGTGTTAGGTACATTCCAGTTCCACTCTTTTAGTTATTTCAAAATATATGATAAATTATTGTTAACTAATGTTCCTCTATTGTGCTCCCTCACACTAGATCTTATTGCCCCTATCTAACTGTATGTTTGTACCCATTACACACTATAAATGCTCCTGACAAGGATAGTTTTATATTTTTTATTCTAGCTCTTCCCCCTACATCTTGTTTTCTTACTCTTATTTCATTGCTAGAGCCCCATGTACAATATCAAATAGAGAGTGGATAACAGGAAGCTTGGAATGGCTCTCTATTAAGATAGGGCCCATATAAGTAAGGTATTAATTTGTAATGTGGCATTTAAAGTTTGAAACTCATTTGGCAATAGCCAGAAACAACTTGTTTACATTGTTTAGGAGTGCATGGGTTCGTGTTTTAAAGCTGGTTTAACCAGTTACATATCCAGACTTAGCTCCATGACAAATGGGGCATAAAACATGCTACTGGAAACATGAGCCTGAGATCTTCTGAAATCAAGGGCACATTTGTTTCTTTAAGTATAATAAAAAGGCCTCTCTCCCATTATCCTACATGAACTAATGCAGGAACAGAAAAATAAATACTGCATGTTCTCACTTATAAGTAGGAGCTAAACACTGAGAACACGTGTACACAAGTGAGCAAAAGACACCAGGGCCTACTTGAGGGTGGAGGGAGGGAGCAGGGAGAGGATCAAAAAACGACTTATCTGCTGGGCGCGGTGGCTCACACCTGTAATCCCAGCACTTTGGGAGGCCGAGGCAGGTGGATCACAAGATCAGAAATTTGAGACCAGCCTGGCCAACATAGTGAAACGCTGTCTCTACTAAAAATACAAAAAATTAGCTGGGTGTGGTGGCGGGTGCCTGTAATCCCAGCTACTCAGGAGGCTGAGGCAGGAGAATCGCTTGAACCCGGGCGGCAGAGGTTGCAGTGAGCCGAGATCGCAACACTGCACTCCAGCACGGGCAACAGTGCGAGACTCCATCTCAAAAAAAACCACAAACAAACAAACAAACAAAAAAACGACTTATCATGTAATATGCTTATGACCTAGGTGATGAAATAACCTATAGACCAAGCCCCGTAACATGCAATTTACCTGTATAACAAACCTGCACATGTATACCTGCAACTAAAATAAAAGTTAAAAAAAATCCTTTCTCCAGGGAAAAGATCAGGTGATCTTACTATTATAAAGGTTTGGATTCCCTGTGCTTGAGGTTCCTCTCCAGTAATAGAACCTATTGCTTATGCAGGTATCACCTTACCCTCCTCTCAGTGCCCTGTGTAAACTGGGGCCCAGGAAACTTGCAAAATTGCTAGTATTTTGACTACTGCATTATTGCAAGCAGTAAACTATACTTTGTTTCTGTTTGAAGAGTCTCATGCCTTCTGCCAGCATCAATGAAACCGTGGCAGATTAACTTGCCATCTTGCAAATAGAATAAAATCTCAGATTATTCATAATTTTAACACTATGCTACCCATGTTTTCAGAAATCCTCTTTGTGAGCAAGAAGTTTATCTAAAGAAAATTAAATTATATTTTAAATAACAACTACAACAGTTAGGGGAAATTACTTTCAATTGGCTTTGTACAAATGCAAATGCTTATTAATGCAACGATTCAAGAAATTCAAGCTTAATTTTGTTAAGATTATTCCAAGTTTTGCTTGCTTTTCACCATCTTCTTTGATCTTGACTATTGGTAGTATATAGAAACCTACAAAAATAATCAAATGCTTATGCAATTTTGTCAGAGAGTAAAATATTCATAAAGATGCGATAACAAAAATTAAAAAACATAATTTATCAAGTGGTAAAGAGTAATTATTTTTATTTTATTTATCTTTTATTTCTAAAGTCAGAGATCATAGTATTAATTTCCCCAGATACATTTTGAAATGTTTTAGAGCACAATTTATTTTTAATTAGGGAAGAAGGATCGTTATTAATTATTTTCCATTCACTAAGACACTTCAGTTATGAAGAAATCTAGTTTAGGAACGCATGCCCTAATGAACCCCAAAATATTATTATTCTCCTTGTTTACTATAGATATACAGGAGGTAACATACAGTGGTTTATTGTATTTCAATGTATGAACATAACAATCTATATTGAAAAGCAAATATCCATTTCAATGTTGTCTATACTCATAAGTGTATTTGTTATAAAATGACAGTTTCAATAGGAAATAAGAGCTAAATCATTTTCTTTTATGTAAAAGAAGGTTTATTTATTGTTTTAATGATGTTGGCATTTCATCATGCTCAAAGAATATTAAATATTTGCAAATATTTTTTATCTCAAGCCACCTCTCTATTATTGTATGTGGACAAATATTATTTGTTTAGGAATACACAATAAATGCATTGTGTAGCTCTGAATCAGTCAGTCTTGGGAATAAAAGGCAGATGAATCCCTAAGTTAGTGTAATTCTTGACAGAAAACAGATGGAACACTAAATCAGTGTAGTTAAAGAGAGTTTAATAAAAATTACCATTTACCAAAATGTGAAAACAATGCAGTATGATAAAGTGCACTGATATTAACAACAGCAAAGAGACATTACCACTTTTAATTTTGAAGGGGTAACAGGAGGTATTAGATACAGAGACTTGGTGAGAACTCAAACTCTGGTTGTTGGATGGGGCCATCCAATAAAAGATGTGGCCCCTTATATAATGGTACAGGGCTCCTGACAACATATAATCTGATAAGAAAGGATCCAAAGCAATTGCTACCCTGACATTGCACTCTACCAATTTTTTGAGCTATTGATAATGTCTCTTATTGGCCATGCCCAACTTGAAGACAGAGGCTCTGAGTGTCCCCATCCCCACAGCTCGCTGGATACAGCCCACACTACAGTTCTCTGATGGGTCCCATACTTGAGGCACTGGGAAGAGGCATGCTGGCCCACTTGAAACAGAGAGCAACTAGCTCTGCTGTTCCCATGCCCCCTCTCACCATGTACTCTGGGCCTATAGTGAGAGTGCCAGCCCTAATGATCTCTGAATCACCTTGAAGAAATAATTCCTCCCTGGTCTCAAAGAATAGCTAGTGCCTGGCTCCTGTAGATATGGCTGATTGGATCTGTAGTTCTTTTATAAATGCACTAATCCATTTCTGAAGGCTCCACCTTCATGAAATAATTATCTCCCAAATGCCTCCTCTCTTAATACCATTACATCAAAGACTAGGATTTCAAAAGATAAATTTGGGATGGTGGTGGGAAGACAGAAACATTCATCCCATAACAAAATCCTAACCTCCAATGTGATGGCATTTTGGAAATAATTAGATCATGAGGAGGGAGCACTAATGAATGTGTGTAGTTTCCTTATAAGAAGAAAGACAAGAGAGATTATTTCTCTCTAGGCCATGTGAGAACTCAATGAGGAGACCACTATCTGCAAGCCAGGAAGAATGCTCTCATCACACACCAGATCTGCCAGTGCCTTGATTTTGGACTTCCCATACATTAAAACTGTGAGAAATAAATGTTTGTGTTTTAAGCCACCCAGTCTATGGTATTCTGTTGTAGCCTTCTGAGCTAAGACATCAGATAAATAGTTGCAAGGAAAAGGAATTTCCTCTGTTCTTAGTTGAATGTGTACATTCTAGCATAAATCTATGGCCATAATCTTGGCTACACTGCATTTATTTTTTAACAGCTTTAGTGAGACACAATTTGCATACAAAAATGTTTTGCAGTTTTTTTTATTTTGGAGGTTATATACTTCATTAGATTTACTTATAAGAGTATTTGATATTTTTAATGATGTAATTGCTATGATTTTTAAACTTTATTTTGTTTGCTTTATGTAAATAAATTCATCTCTTCTATTTACTTTGTATACAATATATATTTCCTTAATTAATTGTAATATTCTCGTAGTAGCTTGTTACATACTTTCTATGCATTTGCAAAGACAAAGATTTTCTTTCTTCATTTCCAGTACTTATTGCATTGTCATTTCCTGCCATATTTTACTAGTTAGGTTTTCCAGTACAACATTGAATAGAGGTGGAGATAGTGTCCATCTCTTTTTCATTCCAAATATCTGGTGGAGTAATTAAGGTGCAGGTTTTGTGTGTATTTCTGTTATCAAATTGGGTGGTTTTCCTCATACTACATTTTGCTAATATGTTTTATTTATTGGAAATGAGTGTTGGAATTCTGGGTTTTGGTGTGACGTAAAAAAATGTGGAAGTCATTACTCCATTCTAACAATATGTAAAAAGATGGACAAACTGAAAAATCAACAAATCTTAGATCCATCAGAGAGGCAGGATCACAGCAAGCCACTGCCTCCAAAATTGAGGAGACTGGTTGGAGAATGCCAAAATTTGTAACATCCATATAAGTTTCTGCTTTGTCTTTTAGGCTTAATAGCGTTTTGATTTATTGGATAATATCCCATTGTATCAATGTACCGAGGTTTATTTATTCATTCACCTTTTCAAAGGCATCTAGGTTTCTCCCAGTTTTTGGCAATTATAAATAAAGCTGCTATAAATTCTTGTGTTCAGGTATTTGTATGCACATAAGCTTTCAAATAAATTGAGTCAGTACATAGGAATGAAGTTGCTGGATTATTTACCTTTGTATGAAACTGCCAAACTATCTTCTAAAGTGACTGCAGCATTCTGCATTCCCCTCGGCAATGAACAAGACTTTCTGTTGGTCCACATCCTTGTAAGCATTTGTTATTGTCAAGTGTTTGGATTTTAGCCACTCTAAAAGCCATGTGGTGGTATCTCATTGCTTTAATTTACAATTTTTTTAATGACAAGTGATGTTGAGCATTCATATGCTTATTTGTCATCTGTGTATTTTTGGTGAGGGTCTGATTAGATCTTTTGCCTATTTTTCAGTTGGGTTGTTTTTTGTTGTTGTTGTTGATGTTGAGTTTCTAAAAGTTCTTCATATATTTTGGATACAAGTCATTTACCAGTTATGTGTTTTGCGGACATTTTCTCCAAATCTGGGGATTATCTCTGTAATCTCTCAACAATTTCTTTAGCAGATAAAAAGGCTTTTAATTTTAATGAAGTCCAAATTATCAATTTTTTCTTTCAAAAACTATGCTTTTGGTATTTTATCTAAAAAGTCATCAACAAATTTAAGGTCACCTATGTTTTGTCTTGCAATCTACTAGAAGTTTTATAGTTTTGCATTTTACATTCAGATTTATAATCTTTTTTGAATTAACTTTTGTAAAAGATATAAAATCGGTGTCTAGATTCATTTTTTGGCATGTGGATGCCCAATTTTTCAAGATGTTTCTGGAAAATACTGTATTTCTACCGCTGAATTGCCTTTGCCCCTTTGTTGAATTATCAGTGGACTAGATTTGTGTGTCTGCTTCCTTAGTTCCTTATACTGTTCCTTTAAATCTCTTCATCTACTATTTTTCCAATATGACATTGTTTTAATTATCGAAGCTTTACAGTTTGTCATCAAGTTAAGTATGGTCAATACTTCAACTTTGTTCTTCTTCATTATTGGGTTGGCTATTCTAATTATTTTCTCATTCCATAGACACTTGCTGGGATTTTGATTGGGAATGCATTGAATCTATAGATCAAGTTAGGAAGAACTAGATTCTTAACAATATTGAGCCTTCTTATTTACAAATGTTAATAAAAGGTCTCCATGCATTTAGATCTTTCTTATATGTTTTCATAAGTTTTGTAGTTATCCTCATAAAGATCTTGTACATATTTTATTAAATTTTCCCCAATTACTTCATATTTAGGTGCTGATGTAAATTTTATTGTTTTTAATTTTACATTCAAATTATTTATTGCTGGAATATAAGAAAGCAATTGCATTTTGTATATTAACTTTCTGTGCTGCATCCTTGTAATAATCTTTTACTAATTCCAAGAGTCTTTTGCTAATTATTTGAAACTTTCTATATTAAAAATAATGTCATTTGTAAACAAATACAGATTTATTTTTCTTCCCAATTTGTATACCTTGTATTTTCTTTTTTTGATATACTGCATTAGCTAGGACTTCCAGTATAATTGTGAATAGGAATGCTGACAGGAGACAGACTTGCTTTGTTCACAGTATCATCACAAAGTATGACGTTCACTGTAGGCTTTGTGTAGATGTCCTTTATTAATATGGAAAGTTCCTCTTTATTCTTCATTTCTGAAGAGTTTTTATCATTCATGGGTTTTAGATTTTATCATATGCTTTTTTTGCATCTATTGATATTATCATGTATTTTTAGCATGTTTATGTGAAAGACTACAAATAACTGATATTTAAATGTTGAACTAGCATAAATATCTAGAATAAATCCCACATAGACATAGTGTATACATTTTTATTCATTGCTGAATTTGATTACCCGACATTATGTTGAGGATTTCTCTATCTATGTTCATGAGAGACACTGATCTGTAGTTTTTCTCTCTTGTAATGCTTTTATCTGGTTTTATTCTGAACTCACAATGAGTTAGAAAGTGTTCCCTCAGTTTCCATCTTCTGGACAAGATTACAGGGAATTGGCACAATTTCATCCTTAAATGGTTGGTAGAGTTCTACAGTAAACTCATCTGGTCTGGTGCTTTCTGTTTTAGAGAGTTATTAATTAGTGATGTAATTTCTTTAATAAAGGAATATATAGATTATCTTTTTCCTTTTGTGCTAGCTGTATAGATTGTAACTTTCAAGGAATTTTTAAAATTAAATCTAAATCATCAAATTTTTAAGTGTGCAGTTATTAATAATATTCATTTACTGCCCTTTTAATGTTCATTGGAGTCAGTAATGATGGAGCGTTTATCATTTCAGAGGTTAATACTAATTTGTATTTCCTCTATTTTTTCTTGATTAGCCTAGCTAGAGGTTTATCAATTTTATTGATCTTCTGAAAGAACCAGCTTTTGATTTTATTATTTTTCTTTACTGTTTTCTTGTTTCAATTTCATTGAATTCTACTCTAAATTTTACTTTTTTCTTCTCTTTGCTTTCAGTTTATGTTGTTTTTCTTTCTACAGTATCCTGAAAAGGAAGCTTATACCATTCATTTTAGGTTTTTCTTTTTTTCTAATATACGAATTCAATGCTATAAGTTTTGTGTTAATCATTGCTATCACTGAATCTCACATATTTTAATAAGTTGTGTTTTCATTTTCATTCAGTTCAAAATATTTTTAAAATTTCTCTTGAGACTTCTTCGACCAATCTGCTATTTAGAAGTTTATTGTTTAATTTATAATTCTAAAAAATTTTCTAGCTATCTTTCAGTTACTTTTTCTAGTTTAATTCCATTGTGATATGATTTGCGTTTGTTTGGTTGGTTGCCCAAAATATGAACCCAAAGGAGGCTCAAAGTGAGTGAATTGGAAATTGTCCACCTGCTTCGGCTCAATGTAGAGAAAAGTATTTAAAGGCTTAGAGAGTCTGGAATATTAGAGTAGATTTGTCTACTCTAATATTAAGACTTAATTATTCACACTGGGACGGTCCAGGAGATGTACCTTTCACCAAAACTGAGAAAAAATAAATCGATTACAGGAAGTCCCAGGATCCCTGAAGAATTTTGATCACTCTTCTCTGTAGGCCAGATCTTACAGAGGATAATGCAGTAACTGAATTGGGAAACTTAGATGCAATGGAAGTAATTGGATAGCAGTGTGGCAGGAGGCAAGTGGCAGCACCAAACTGCCAAAGGCAAGGTAGGTATGTTTAACATAATAAAGAACACGACTACCCTGCCCCTACCTGAACACTTACTTTGGAGGTGGCTCTGCAGTTCTGTGAGGAGGAAATCTCAGAGACTACCCACAACCATTTCACCATTGCAACTGCAGTAGTGCCACCCTGATGCCGTAGGGCTGTGGAAGGAACAAAGGGACTAGTCACTAACTTGACACATCCAGCACACCACAGTCACCACACAGAAACAAATCCAGTCCCTCTTCTCTGTGAGCCCCCATCTCCCACTCATCAACAGACAGCGCCCCTGGCTCAGGAATACAGATCAGCCATCTAACCCACGGCTGAGCACAACCACTGGTAGTGGCTTTGGGTTTCCCTGGGAAGGGGCTCCCACAGGTAACTGACAGCCCCTCTGCCACTGCAACAGCAGTGATTCTGCCCCTGCTGCCCTTGGTCAGGTGAGGAAATAAAGATCCTGAAGACCTCACCCACACACCACACACCCAGTCACCATATAAAGAGGAACTCAGTTTCACCTCCCTGTAAGCCACTGAACCCCTGCTCCTCAACAAGCAGAGCCATCAGCTCAGGCCAGCAGTGTGGCCACCACAACCCTTGGCTGAACATTCGCAGTAGTGGCAACTCCAAGTTTCTCTGAGGTGTAGCCCCCAGAGGCAACTGAAAGCCCCTTTCCCACTGCCACTGCAGGTGTACTGTCCTTGCTGCCCTCGGAATAGAGAAGGGTCGAGGACTCTGGATAGGTTAACAGCACCTCCAGAAAGCTGCAGTTGTCTTAAGAGGCCAGTCTGTCTCCCCAGTGACCCACCCAAACCCCTGCTCATTACCAGTCAGGGCTCCCTGGTTTGGGCTCACAGAACAGCTGCCCCATTCCAGCCTGACTGAACTGATTGATAGCAGCCCTGCATCTTTGTCATGTGAAGCTTCCAGAGACAAGTGAAAGGCCCACTGCCATAACCATCGCTAAGTTCCCTTCCCCTGCTGCCTCCATGCTGAAGAGGAAATATAAATCCCGAGCTTGCTTCCAGACCTGTGGTATGCTGCCTTGGAGTGCCAAGCCAACATCTGCAGCCAGCACTCAAGAGGGAGAAGATTCCACACTTTCAAAGCACTGAGAGGGAGAATGACTGAAATCATGAGGAAACACAGAGGACCCCGTGGATGAGCAAGAAGCTACCTACTTGCCATTACACATAAGCACCAACTATTGGATCACAGATCAAAACTTCAGCACCAAAAGCACTTTCCTAATATAGGCCCTGTGAAACAAGGACAAAAATTCAGCTAAAATTAAAGACCCCACACAAAGCCTTCACCCTCTGAAAACATCCAGAAAATAAGTCTACTGGCTGTACTCAAATTACACCAAAGGTAAAAGAACAACAGCCTACATAGATGACAAAGAACCAGAAAAAGAAATCTGGCACCTGAAAAAGCCACAGTGGTTTCTTTCCACTAAATTAGTGCACTAGTTCCCTAGCAAGGGTTCTTAAATGGGCTGAAATGGCTGAAAAAAAAAAAAGAACTAGAATACACAATATGGATAGGAACAAAAATCACTGAGATTCAGGAGAAAGTTGACACCCTATCCAAGGAATCTATGATTACAATAAAATGATAAATGATACGATAGACAAAATAGCCATTATAAAAAAAGAAACTAAACTGATCTGATAAAGCTGAAAAACATACTACAAGAATTTCATAATATACCTATAATAATACCTATAAATGGAGCTATCATATGATCCACCAATCCCGCTGCAGGATATATAACCAAAAGAAAGGAAATAAGTATATCAAAGAGATATCTGCACTCCTACATTTGTTGCAGCACTGTTTACAACAGGTAAAATTTGGAAGCAACCTAACAGTCCATTAGCAGATGAATGGATTAAAAAAAGTAGTAATATATACAATCGAGTACTAATCAGCCATAAAAAATAATGAGATGCAGTCATTTGCAATAACATGGGAGGAACTGGAGATAACTATCTTAAGTGAAATAAGCCCAGCACATAAAGACAAACATCACATGTTTTTACTTATTTATGGAATCTAAAAATCAAAGCAATTGAACTCAGGGACATAGAGAATAGAGGGATGGTTACCAGATGCTGGGAAGGGTAGTGGAGGGTTGAGGAGAGGTGGAGATGGCTAATGGGTACAAAAATAAAGTTTGAAAGAATGAGTAAGGCCTACTATTTGATAGCACAGCAGGGTGACTATAATCAATAATAACTATTTTTTTTAATAAGGAGTGTAATGGGATTTGTTTGCAATGCAATGGATAAATGCTTGACATGATGGATACCTTATTCTTCATGATGTGCTTATTTCACATTGCATGCTTATATCAAAACATCTCATGTACCTCATAAATATATACACCTACTATCAATGTACCCACACAAAATAAAAATAAAAATAAATTTAAAACAAGAATTTCATAATGCAATCACAAGTATTAACAGCTGAATAGACCAGGCTAAGGAAAGAAGGTCAGTGCTCCAAGACTGGCTCTCTGAAGTTACTCAGTAAGATATAAATAAAGAAAAATAAAGAATGAAGAAAAACTTCAAGAAATATGGGATTATGCAAGGAGACCAAATTTACAACTCACTAGTTTCCTTGAAAGAGATGAGGTGAAACCAAGCAATTTGGAAAACATATTTGAGGATATCATCCATGAAGTATTCTCCAACCTCACTAGAGAGGCCAACATTCAAATTTAGGAAATGTAGAGAACCACTGTGAGATACTAGACAAGAATACCATCTCCAAGAATCATAATCATCACATTCTCTCAGGTTGGAATGAAAGAAAAAATGTTAAAGGCAACTAGAGAGAAGGGACACATTACCTACAAAGGGAACCTAACCAGGCTAACAATGGACCATTCAGTAGTAACTCTGTAAGCCAAGAGAGACTCTAGGCCTATATTCAGCATTCTTAAAGAAAAGAATTTCCAACCAAGAATGTCATTTCCAACCAAACTAAGCAACAGAAGTGAAGGAGAAATAAGATCGAAATAAGATCCTTTTCAGCAAATGGTGAAAAGATTTGTTACTACCAGACCTGAATTGCAAGAGGTCCTAAAAGCAGCACTAAATATGGAAAGGAAATACCACTACCATCCACTACAAAAACACACTTAATTACACGGACCAGTGACACTATAAAGCAACCACACAAACATGTCTGCATAACAACATGATGGCAGGATCAAATCTGCACACATTAATACTAACTTTTAATACCAATGAATTAAATGCCCAATTAAACAGCAAAGAGTGGAGAACTGGATTAAGAAGCAAGACCTAAGGGTATGTTGTCTTTAAGAGACCCATCACACATGCACTGGCACCCATAGGCTCAAAATAAAGGAAAGGAAAAAAATTTAAAGCAAATGGAAAACACAAAAAGCAGGGGTTGCTGTATGAATTTCAGACAAAACAAATTTTAAATCAACAAAAAACAAAAAGAAAAAAGAAGAGCATTACATAATGATAAAGGGTTCAATTCAACAAGAAGACCAAACTATCCTAAATATATACACCCAACACAGGAGCAACCAGATTCATCAAGCAAGTTCTTAGAGATGTACAGAGATTTAGATTCCCACACAATAACAGTGAGTGACTTTAACACCTGACAGACAATATTAGACAAATCCTCAAGACAGAAAACAAAATTAACAAAAACAATAAGAACCTGCACTCAACACTTGAACAAGTGGACCTAATAGACATCTCCACCCCAAAACAATAGAATACACATTCTTCTCATCACCACATGACATAATCTAAAATCGACCACACAATCAAATATAAAATAAATCCTCAGCAAATTCAAAAACCTGAAATCATACAATCCACAGTCTTGGATGACAAAGCAATAGAAATAGAAATAAGCACCAAGAAAATCACTCAAAAGCATACAATTAAATGGAAACTAAACACTGTGTTCTTGAATAACTTTTGGGTAAATAATTAAGTTAAGGCAGAAATCAAGAACTTCTTTGAAATGAATGAAAACAAAAATACCAGATACCAAAATGTCTGGAATATAGCTAAGGCAGCATTAAGTAGGAAGTTTGTAACACTAAATGTCCACATCAAAAAGTTAGAAAGATCTCAAATTAACAACCTAACACTACAACTAGAGGAATGAGAGTAACAAGGCAACCAACCCCAAAGATAGCAGAAGAAAAGAAATAACCAAATCAGAGCTAATGTGAAGAAAATTGAGATGTGAAAAACAACAGAAAAGGTCAGAAAATCCAGGAGAGTATTTTCTGAAAAAATAAAATAAACAGAAAGATAGATCACTAACTACCCGAATAAAAAAGAGAGAGGATCTACATAAATACAATTAGAAATGACAAAGGAAATGTTACCACTGACCCTGCAGAAAAACAACGACAACAACAAAAAACCCTCAGAGACAACTATGAATATATCTATGCATCTGTGCATACAAACTAGAAAATCTAGAGGACATGGATAAATTCTCAGACACATAAAATCTACCAAGACTAAATCAGGAAGAAATTGAATCCCAGAACAGACAAATAATGAGTTCCAAAATTGAATCAGTAATAAAAAGACTACCGACCAAAAAAAGCCCAGGACCAGATGGATTCACAGCTGAATTCTATCAGATATATAAAGAAGAGCTAAAACCATTCCTAGTAAAACTATTCCAGAAAAATTGATAAGGAGGGACTCTTCCACAACTTATTCAATAAGGCCAGCATCATCCTGGTACCAAAACCTGGCAGAGACAAAGAAAAGAGATAATTTTAGGTTAATATCCTTGATGAACAAAGATGCAAACATCCTCAACAAAATACTAACAAACTGAATCCAGCAGCATATAAAAAAGCTACTCTACAAGAACAAGTGGGCTGTATTTTTGCAATGCAATGTTGTTTCAACTTTTGAAAATCAATAAATGTGATTCATCACATACACTGAACTAAGGAAAAAAACCACATGATCATCTCAATAGATGCATAAAAAGCTTTCAATACAATTCATCATCCTTTCACATCAACAACTCTCAACAAACTACGAATTAAAGTAACATATCTCTAAGTAATAAGAGCCACCTATGACAAAGCCACAGAAACATCACACTGAATAGCTAAAAGCTGGAAGCATTCTCCTTGAAAACCAGAACATGACAAGGATGCCCTCCCTCACCATTCCTATTCGGCTTAGAATCGGAAGTGCTAGCCAGGGCAATCAGGCAAGAGAAAGACATAAGGAGCATCCAAATAGAAAGAGAAGAAGTCAAACCATTCATCTCTGCAGATGACATAATTCTCTGTCTAGAAAAGATATAGGTTGATACAATTCTATATCTAAATATTCTTCAAAAAACTATAAAGACTATTCATTCAAAAAACCTCAATAAACTAGGAATTGAAAGGACATACTTCAAAACAGTAAGAACAATCTATGACAAACCCAGAGTCAAGATCATACTGAATGGGCAAAAGCTGAAAGCATTCCCCATGAAAACCAAAACAAAACAAGTACTAGTCAATATAGTACTGGAAGTTCTGTCTAGGGCAATCAGGGAAAATAAGTTAATAAAAGACATCAACATAGGAAGAGAAGAAGTCAAATTATCCCTGTTTGCAGATGACATGATATTATATCTAGAAAACCCCACAGTCTGCCCCAAAGCTCCTTAATCTGATAAATAACAAGCAAATTTTCAGGATACAAAATCAAAGTACAAAACTCAGTGGCGTTCCTATACACCAAGAACATCTAAGCTGAGAGCCAAATCAAGAATGCAATTCCATTCAAAATTGCCACACAAAGAATAAAATAACTAGTAATATAGCTATCCAAGGTAGTGAAAGATCTCTACAATGAGAATTACAAAACACTACTCAAATAAATCAGAGATGACACAGACAAATGGAAAAACATTCCAAGCTCATGGACAAGAAGAATCAATATCATTAAAATAGCCATGTCGCATAAAGCAATTCACAGATTCAGTGCTATGCCTATCAAACTAGCAATGGCATTCTTCATAGAATTAGAAAATCTATTTTAAAATTCATGTGGAACTCAAAAAAATATTGAATATCCAAGGCAATCCTAATAAAAAAGAACAAAGCTGGAGGCATCGCATTACCTGACTTCTAACTGTATCACAAGGTCACAATGACCAGAACAGCATGGTACTGGTGCAAAAACAAACACATAGACCAACGGAACAGAACAGAGAGCCCAGAAATTATGCTTCACACCTAAAACCATCTGATCTATTACAAGGATGACAAAAAGGAACAAGTGAGAAAGGACTACCTCTTCAATAAATGGTGTTGAGATACCTGGCTAGCCATCTGCAGAAGATTAAAACTGGACCCTTTCCTTACACCATGTACAAAAATCAACTGAAGGTACATTAAAGACAAGTGTAAAACCTAAAACCACAAAAACCCTGGAAAAATAACCTAGGAAATAACATTCTGGATATAGAACATGGCACAGATTTAAGGACAAAGACTCCAAAAGCAATTGCAACAAAAACAAAAATTGACAAGTGGGACATAATTAAACTAAAGTGCTTCTGCAAAGCAAAATAAACTATCAAGGGTATAATCAGAAAACCTACAGAATGGAAGAAAATATTTGCAAACTATGGGTCCAGCAAAGGTCTAATATTTAGCATCTTTAAGGAACATAAACAAATTTATAAGCAAAAAAGAAAGCCATTAAGAAGCGGGCAAAGGACATGAGCAGACACTTTACAAAAAAAGACATACATGTGGCCAAAAAGCTTATGAAAAAAACTCTCAACATCACTAATCATTAGAGAAATATAAATGAAAACCACAATGAGTTACCATCTTACACCAGTCCGAACGGCTGTTATTAAAAAGTCAAAAAATTATAAATACTAGCAAGGTTGCAGAGAAAATGAAACACCTTTACACTGCTGGTGGGAGTGTAAATTAGCTCAGTCATTGTGCGAAGCAGTGTGGTAACTCCTCAAAAAACTTGAAACAAAATTACCATTTGACCCAGTCATCTCCTTATTGAGTATATACCAAAAATAATACAAATGACTCTAGCATAAAGACACAAGCATGCAAATGTTCATTGCAGCACTATTCGTGACAGCAAAGACATGGAATCAACTTAAATGTGCATCAGTGGTAGACTGAATAAAAAAAAATGATACATATACAACATGGAATACTATACGGCCATGAAAATGAACAAGATCATATTATTTGCAGCCACATAGATGGAGCTGGAGGTCATTAATATTAGCATACTAGTGTAGGAAGAGATAGTGAAATACTACATGTTCTAACTTAATAATGGGAGCTAAACAACAAAAACATATGAACCCAGAGAGGGGAACAACAGACACGAGGGCCTACTTGAGGAAGAAGGTAGGAGAAGGGAGAGGATGAGAAAAAAATACCTACTGGTTACTTTTCTTATCTGAGTGACAAAATAATTTGTACACCAAACCCCCATGACACACAGTACACCTATGTAACAAAACTGTACATGTACTCCTGAAACTAAAAGTTATAATAAAAAAAAAGAGAAAATAGGTGTGGCACCACTTACTATTACTCCTAAGTGACCCAGTACAAAATTTTTTTTAATTCCTGTTCCCCTAACTTTATGCTCTGCTGGCATAGAGGGCTTAGTTCCAGAGAGGAGAATGCTTCCACTGAAAACATAACAATGATTCTGTTGAACTTAAGCTAAGACAGCCAACCAGCCTCCTTGGGCTCCTCAGGCCTCTGAATCAACAGGCAAATGTGGGAGTTACTGTGCTGCTTAGGGGATGGATCCTGACTACTAAGGGGGAAATTAGACTACTTTACAATGGACGTGAGGAAGAGTATATAGTCACTGTAAAGACTACTTTACAATGGAGGTGAGGAAGAGAATAATACAGGAGATCCCTCAGAACATCTCAATAGTCCCATGCCCTGTAATTAAGTTCAATGTAAAACCACAACAACTCAATCCAGACAGGATTATTAAGAGCGCAAACTCTTCAGGAATGAAGGTTTGGACCACCAGGTTAAGAACCAGGATGAGCTGAGGTGCTTGCTTAAGGCAAAGGGAGTACAAAATGGGTAGTGGAAGAAGATAGGGATGAATATCAGCATTACAAGTGACCAGTTAAAGAAATAAGGACTCTAATTCTCATGAGAATTTCCTTTTTATTTTGTCATAAAAATGTTTATATATAAAAATTATACATTATATATTAACATATATATGTCTAATATATATTAAGTAAATAATATTTTGCTCTCATTTCCCCCTATCATGTAACATATAATGTATGGACTTTATAAAATAGTTTTAAAGCATTGTTCATTTTACATCATACTATTTAGGTTATGAGATATCAAGGAGAAGCAGGACCATCACTCCAGTATTTTACCTTTTTTTGTGGAAGTGGTTAGTTCAGTTTCAGTTGTACACAAGATGACTACATCATGTTAGCTGTAATTATGATCCTGTTACCATTTAGAGATTAGGTTTGGTTTAAGGAGATGCATATGGATGCCAAGTTGACAAGGTGTGGACTTGTGATGGTTAATTTTATGTGTCAAATTAACATGAACAGGAGGTGCTCAGATATTTGGCCAAACATTCTGGGTGTTTCTGTGAGAATGTTTTGGGATAAGATTAACATTTTAATTGTTAGATTGAGTAGAGAAGATTGTCCTTCCTAATGTCGATGGGCTTCATTCTATCAGTTGAAAGCCTGGATAGAATAAAACAGGTGATTTTCCTCTGAAAAGAAATAATTATTCCTGCCTGATTGTCTTTATCCTGAAACATCATTTTTTCCTGCTTTTAGACTCACACTGAAATGTTGAAACTTCTGGGGTCTGGGGTCTGGGGCCTGTTAGCCTTCATACTGGAACTATACCATTGACTCTCCTGGGTCTCCAGCTTGCCAACAGCAGATCATAGGTCTTGTCAGCTTGCATAATTATGTAAATCATTTCCTTTTAATAAATCTATCTTCCTCTCTTTATCTCTTTCTCTACACCCCCCCCCCCCACGCACACACAGAGTCATGCATCATTTAATGATAAAAATACATTCTAAAAAATGCCTTGTTAGGTGATTTTGTTGTAAAAATACTACAGAGTGTACTTATATAAACCCAAATGGTGTAGCCTACTACACACCTAGGCTATAGGGTGGTGGCCAAAGATGAGACTCCTTTGCCTTTGGAAAAAGAAGAGTTGAAAGTATTGAATCTGGTGGTTTGAGTGCCAGCACGACTACAGTACAACAGAACAGAAGGTAGACTTCTAAGGTTTTTGTCTCCAGTCTCAGACTCCCTGATGGAAGCTCTGGATCTGCCCTGGGCCTGAGGGAACTTGCCATCCAGAAGGGAAAGACACCATCCTGGTTGGCTTCAAAACATGATAATTGTAGAGCCCCAGGACCTTGAACACAGGCAGTAGTCAGAGAGTGGTTACAATAGGCCTTGGATGAGACTCAGTGCTGTGCCAGCTCCAGGTCTAACCCAGCACAGTTCTAGTTGTGGTGGACACAGGAGTGCTTATGTCATTCCATCCCCAGCTCCAAGGCAGTTCAGAACAAAGATAGATTCCATTTGTTTGGGAGAAAGTAAGAGAACAAGAATCTCTGCCTGGTAATCCAGAGAATTATCCCAGATCTTGTCCAAGACTATTAGGGTGGTACCTCTAGTCTGCAAGAACCACAGTGTTACTAAGCTTAGGATTCCCCCTAGTGCAGATACAGCTTAGATCACAACACCCAAGTACTTTTGAATATTTGGAAAGCCTTTCCAAGAAGAATGGGTACAAACAAGCCCAGACTGAGAAGAGACTGCAATAAATACCTAACTCTTCAATACCTAGTCACAGACGAACATCCACAAGTATCAAGACCATTCAGGAAAACACGACCTCACCAAGTAAACTAAGTAAGACACCAAGGACCAATACTGAAAAAAAAAAAATAGATATATGTGATCTTTCAGACAGGTAATTCAAAATAGCTGTTTTGAGGAAACTCAAAGAATTTCAAGATAACACAGAGAAGGAATTCAAAATTATTTTAGGTACATTTAACAAAGAGATTAAAATAATTTTTTAAAAAATCAAGCAGAAATTCTGGAGTTCAAAAATGTAATTGACGGCCGGGCACGGTGGCTCACGCCTGGTAATCCCAGCACTTTGGGAGGCCGAGGCAGGTGGATTACCTGAGGTCAGGAGTTCAAGACCAGCCTGGCCAACATGGTGAAACCCTGTCTCTACTAAAAATACAAAAATTAGCCAGGCGTGGTGGCACACCCCTGTAATCCCAGCTACTTGGGAGGCTGAGGCAGGAGAATTGCTTGAGCCCGGGAGGCAGAGCTGAGATCATGCCACTGCACTCCAGCCTGGCCAACAGAGCAAGACTCTGTCTCCAAAAAGAAAAAAAAAATGCAATTGACATACTGAAGAATGCATCAGGGTCTTAATAGCAGAATTAATCAAGCAGAAGAAAGAATTAGTGAGCTTATTGGTAGGCTATTTGAAAGATACACAGTCAGAGGGGATGTTATAGTTTGTATATTTGTCGCACTCCAAAACTCATGTTGAATTGTAGTTCCCAATGCTGGAGATGGGGCCCAGTGGGAGGTATTCAGATAATGGGCATGAAACCCTCATGGCTTGGTGCTGTTTTTGTGATGGTGACTTTTCAAGAGATCTGCTCATTTAAAAGTGTGTGCCACCTCCCCACTCCCCACTCTCTCTCTCCTTCCTGATTTCACAATGTACAGTGCCTGCTCCTGTGTAACTTTCAGTAATGATTATAAACCTTCTGTGTCCTACCTAGGTGTCAAACAGATGCCAGCACCATTCTTCCTTTAAAGCCTTCAGAACCATGAGCCAATTAAACCTCTTTTAAAAAAATTATCCAGTCTCAGGTATTTCTTTATAGAAAAACAAGAATGGCCTAATACAGAAAGTTCATTCTAAGGAGTGAGGCATTGCTACAAAGATACCTGAATATGTGGAAGCAGCTTTGGAATTGGGTAATGGGCAGAGACTGGAAAACTCTCAAAGGCTCAGAAGAAATGAAGATGAGGGAATTTTTGTAATTTCTTAGAGACTGGATAAATGCTTTTGACAAAGATGCTGTTAATGACATGCACAGCAAAATCCAGGCTAAGGAGGTCTCAGATGGAAATGAGGAACTTGCTGAGAACTGGAGAAAAGGTCATGAGTATCATGCCATAACAAATAACTTGGCTGAATTGTGTCCATACCCTAGGGTTCTGTAGAAGTTTGAACTTGAGATTGATGACCCAGGGTGTATGGTGGAAGAAATTTCTAAGCAGCAGACTATTCAAGATGTCCCTTGGCTGCTTCTAACAACCTAACTCAAATGCAGGAGCAAAGAAATAATTTAAAGTTGAAATATATATTTAACAGGGAAGCAGAGCATAAAAGTTTGAAAAACTTGCAGGCTGGCCATGTGGCAGAGAAAGAGAATTCTTCCTTGGGAAAGAAACTCAAGTGGGCTGTGGAGGAACCACTTACTAGAAATATCTGCACAACTAAAAGAGAGCCAAGTGTTAATATCCAAGACAATGAGAAAAAGACCTCAAAGGCACTTCAAAGACCTTTTTGAGAGCCCCTTTCATCACAGGCCCAGAGGCCTAGAAGGATAGAATGGTTTTAGGGGCCTGACCAAGGATTCCATGGCCTTGTGCAGCCTTGAGACATTGCTTCCCATATACTAGATACTCTGGCTCCAGCTGTGGCTCAGTAGTGCCAGGTTACAGCTCAGGTTGCTGCTTCAGAGGGTGCAAGCAACAAGCCTTGGATGTGGGACATGGAGTCAAAAGAGATTAATTTAGAGCTTTAAGGTAACTTGTCTGCTGGGCTTTGAACTTGCATGGGGCCTGTATCCCCTATCTTTTGGCTGATTTCTCCCTTTAGGAATGACAAAGTTTACTCAATGTGTATATTCCCATCATATCTTGAAAGTCACTAACTTTTTTTTAAAAAAATAGGCTAAAACGTGGAAGTGATTTGGCTTGTCTCAAATGGGACTTTGAACTTTTGAGTTAATGTTGGAATGAGTTAAGACATTGGAGGAGAGTTGGGAAGGCATGCTTGTATTTTCCAATATGAGAAGGAAATGAGATTTGGGATGAGTCAGGGGTCTAATAATATAGTTTTGATATTTGTTCCCACCCAAATCTCATGTTAAATTGTAATTCCCAGTGCTGGAGGTAGGGGCTGGTGAGAGGTGTTTGGATCATGGGGGCTAATCCCTTATGACTTAGTGCTGTCTTTGTGTAAGGAGTTCTCATGAGATATGGTCATAGAAACGTGTGTGGCACTTCCCACCTCACTCTCTCTCTCTCTTGCTCCTGATTTTGCCATATAAAGTGCCTGCTCCTGCTTTACCTTCCTACTGAGAGTGTAAGAGTCCTGAGGCCTCCTCAGAAGCTGAGCAAATGCTAGAACTGTGCTTCCTGTAAAGTCTGCAAAACCATGAGCCAATTAAGCCTCTTTTCTTTATGAATTACCCAGTCTCAGATATTTCTTTATAACAATGCAAGAAGGACCTAATATAGGAGACAAAAAAAAATTTATAAAAAACAATTAAGCACACCTACAAGATCTAGAAAACAGCCTCAAAAAGGCAAATCTATGAGTTACTGACCTTCAAGAGGAGCTTGGGGGTATAAAGTTTATTCAAATAGATAATAACAGAGAACATTCCAAACCTAGAGAAAGATATCAACATCCAAGTACAAGATGATTATAGAACACCAACCAGATTTAACCCACAGAAGACTACCTCAAGGCATTTAATAAAACTCTCAAAGGACAAAGATAAAGAAATGCCCTAAAGTCACAAAGAGAATAGAAATAAATAACACAATGTAGCTGTCATATGTCTGGCAGCAGACTTTTCGGTGGAAACCTTACAGACCAGGGGAGAGTAGTATGACGTATTTAAAGTGCTAAAGAAAACAAAACAAAACAAAAAACCTTTAGCATAGAATAGTCTATTCAGTGAAAATGTCCTTCAAACATGAAGGAGAAATAAAGACTCAGAAATAAATAAATAATAAATCTATTAAAAAGTATCATTAATAAAATATAAAGATATCCCCCAGACAAACAAAAGCTGAGGGATATCATCAATACCAGACTCGTTCTACAAGAAACACCAAAGGAAGTACTTCAATCAGAAAGAAAAGAACATTAATGAGCAATAACTAATCACCTGAAGGTACAAAATTTACTGGTAACAGTAAGTACACAGAAAAACACAGAATATTATACCACTGTAGCTGTGGTGGGTAAAACACTCTTATCTTAAATAGAAAGGCTAAATGATGAAGCAATAAAAAATAATAACTTCAATAACATTTCAAGACATAGACAGTAAAATAAAATATAATTGGAAACAACAAAAAGTTAAAAGGGGGGATGAAATTAAGACATAGGGTGTTTATTAGTTTTATTTTTGCTTGTTTGTTTCTTTGTTTATGCAGTGTTAGGTTGTTATCAACTTAAAATAATGGGTTATAAGATAGTGTTTGCAAGTCTCATGATACCTTCAAATCGAAAACATACAATGGATTCACAACAAATAAAAATCAAATAATTAAATCATATCACCAGAGAAAATCACCTTCACTAAAAAGAGACAGGAAGGAAAGAAAAGAAAGTGAACACCACAAAATCACCAGAAAACAAATAACAAAATGGTAAAAGTAAGTCCTTGTTTATCAATAACATGGAATGTAAGTGAACTAAACTTCCCAATCAAAAGACACTGAGTGGCCAAATAGCAAAAAAAAAAAAAAAAAAAAAAAGACCTGCTGCCAACAAAAAACACACTTCACCTGTAAATGCATGCATAGACTGAAAATAAATGTATGGAAAAAGATATTCCATGTGAATGGAAACTAAAAAGGAGCAGAAGTAGTTATATTTATATTACACAAAATATATTTCAAGACTAAGACTATATAAAGAGACAAAGAAGGCCGCTATATAATGATAAAGGCATTAATTCAGGATGAGGATACAACAATTTTAAATATATTGGCACCCAACATTGGAGCACCCTGACATATAAAGCAAATATTATTAGAGCTAAAGAGAGAGATAGCCCCCAATATAATAATAGCTAGAGACTTCAACACCACATTTGCAGCGTTGGACAGATCTTCGAGACAGAAAACAAACGAAGGAACATCAGACTAATTCACACTATAGACCAAATGGCCCTAATAGATATTTACAGAGCATTTCAAACAATGGCTGCAGAATACACATTCTTTTTCTTAGCAAACAGACCACGCTCAAGGTTAGACCATATGTTAGGCCACATAAGAAGTCTTAAAACATTCAAAAAATTGAAATAATATCAAAGATCTTCTCAGAGCACAATGTAATAACACTAGAAATCAATAACAAGAGGAATTTTTAAAACTATATGAACACACAGAAATTAGATAATATGCTTCTGGATGTGATAGGGTCAATGAAGATATTAAGAAGAAAATTGCAAAATTTCTTGAAACAAATGATAATAGAAACATAACATCCAAAAGCTATATTATAGAGCAAAAGCAGTACTAAGTAGGAAGTTCACAACTATCAGTGTCTACATCAAAAAATAAACAAAAACTTCAAATATTCATCCTAACAATGCATCTTAAATACCTAGAGAAGCAAAAGCAAAACCAAACTGAAAATGAGCAGAAGAAAAGAAATAATAAAGATTGGAGTGGAAATAAATGCAATTGAAATGAAAAAAAAAATAAAAAAGACCAATGAAACAAAAAGTTGGGGTTTTTTTTGAAAAGATAAACATAATTGACAAACCTTTAACCAGGCTAAGAAACACAGAGAGAAAATACAAATAAAATTAGAGAAGAAAAAAGAAAACTGATACCACAGATATTCAAAGGATCACTAGAGGCTACTATGAGCAACTATAAGCCAACAAACTAGAAAATTTAGAAGATAGGTACAAGTTCCTAGACACATACAGTCTACCAACACTGAACCATGGAGAAATCCAAAACATAAGGAAGACACTAATAACAAGTAATAAGGTTGAAGCCATAATAAAAAGTCTTCTAAAAAAAAAAAAAAAAAAAAAGGCCGAGGACTCAATGACTTCACTACTGAATTTGGCCAAACATTTAAAGAAGTAGTGCCAATCCAACTGAAAATATTCCATAAAATATATTAGCACAAAATACTTCCAAACTAATTCTGCAAGGCCAGTACTACTCTGATTACAAAACCAGACAAAGACACATGAACAAAAGAAAACTACAGGCCAATATTTCCAATAAATATTAATAAAAAATTCTCAGCAAAAAAACTGACAAACCAAATTCAATAACACATTAAAAAGATCATTCAACATGACCAAGTGGAACTTAAACCCAGGGATGCAAGGATGGTTCAAAGTACACTAATCAGTTAATATGATACATTGTGCATCATTATCAACAGAAGGACAGAAGGAAGGACAAAAACCATATGATCATTTCAATTGATGCTAAAAATGCATTTGATAAAATTCAACATCCCTTCATAATAAAAACATTTAAAAACTTGAGATAGAAAGAACATGCCTTTATGTAATAAAAGCCATATATGACAGACCTACAGCTAGTATCATACTCAAAGGGGAAAAACTGAAAGCCTTTCCTCTAAGATCTAGAATACAACAAGGATGCCCACTTTCACTTTTGTTACTCAATATATTAGTGAAAGTCCTAGCTAAAGCAATCAGAAAAGAGAAAGAAATAAAGGATGCCCAAACTGGAAAGGAAGAAGCCAAATTTTCTTTGTTTGCAGGTGATACGATCTTAAATTTGGAAAAAAACTAAAGATTCCACCAAAAAAACTATTAGAACTGATAACATTCAGTAAAGTTGCAATATAAAATATCAACATAGAAAGTCTGGTAGCATTTGTATATGCCAACAGCACACAATCTGAAAAAAAAAATCAAAATTAATCCCATTTCTAGTGGCTAGAAATAAATAACTAGGAATTAACCAAATAAGTGAAAGATCTCTACAAAGAAAACTATAAATTATTGACGAAAGAAATTGAAAAGGATACCAAAAAAAGGATATTCCATGCTTACGGATTGGAAGAATCAATATTGCTAAAATTTCCCTACTACCCAAAGCAATCTATAGATTCAATGCAATTTCTATAAAAATATTAATGACATTCTTCACAAAAATAGAAAAACTATCCTAAAATTCATATGGAACCACAAAAGACCCTGGATAGACAAAACTATCCTAAACAAAAAGAAAAACTGGAGGAATCACATTACCTGACTTCAAATTATACTACAGAACTTTAGTAAACCAAATGGCATGGATCTGGCATAATAACAGACACAAAGACCAGTGGAACAGAACAGAGAACCCAGTAGTAAATCCATCCATCTACAGTAAACTCATTTTCAACAAAAGTTTCAAGAACATTCATTGGGAAAAGGACAGTCTCTTCAATAAGTGGTGCTGGGAAAACTGGATATCCATATGCAGAAGAATGAAACTAGAACCCTATCTCTCACCATATACAAAAAATAAAATCTAAATGAATTTGAGACATAAACTTAAGACCTCAAATTATAAAACAACTAAAATAAAATATTAGGGAAATTCTCCTGGACATTAGACTGGGCAAAGATTTCTGGAACAATAACCCACAGGCACAGGCAACCAAAGCAAAAATAGACAAATGAGGTCACCTCAAGTTAAAGAGCTTCTGCACAGCAAATGAAACAATAAACAAAGTGAAGAGACAACCCATAGAAAGAGAAAATATTTGCAAACTACTCATATGACAAGGGACTTATAACCAGAATATATAAGTAGGTGAAACGACTCTATAAGAAAAAAATCTGATAATCTAATTAAAAAATAAATAGACGATCTGAATAGACATACTTCAAAAGGAGACATATCAATGACAAACAGGTATATGAAAAGGTGCTCAACATCGTTGATCATCAGAAAAATGTAAATCACAAACTACAATGAGATATCATTTTACCCCAGTTAAAGTGGGTTTTATCCAAAAGACACACAATAACAAGTATCCTGGTGAGGATGTGGAGAAAAGGGAACCCTCATACATTCTTGGTGGGAATGTAAATTAGTACAACCACTATATAAAACGGTTTGAAGATTCCTCAAAAAATTAAAAATATAGCTACCATAGGATCTAGCAATCCCAATTCTATGTATATACCCAAAATAAAGAAAATTAGTATATTAAAGAGATATTTCTACTCCTTTGTTTTTACAGCACTGTTCACAATAGTCAACATTTATAGGCAACCTAAGTGCTTATAAATCAACAGATGAATGGATAAAGAAAACATGGTACATATATACAATGGAGTACTATTCAGCCATGAAAAAGAATGAGATCCTCACGTTTTCAACAACACGGATAGAAATGGAGGTCATTATGTTAAATGAAATCAGTCAGGCACATACAGCTAAACATCACATTTTCTCACTTATCTGTGCCAGGTAAAACTAAAAAGAATTGAACTCATGGAGATAGAATAGGATGGTTATCAGGAGCTTAGAAGGGCATCTGAAGGGGTGGGGGTGAAGGAAGGATTGTTAATGGGTACGATGAATAGAAAGAATAAAGGTCTAGTATTTGATAACACAACCCAGGTGACTATGGTAAAAAGATAATACAATTGTACATTTTAAAATAATTAAAAGGCTATAATTAGATTGTTTTAAACATGAGGGACAAATACTTGAAGTAATGAATACCCTACTGACTCTGATGAAATTAATACGAATTGCATGCCTGTATCAAAATACTTCATGTAACCCATAAATATATACACCTACTACGTACTCATAAAAAATTTTTAAAAATTAGGCCGGGCGTGGTGGCTCATGCCTGTAATCCCAGCACTTTGGGAAGCCGAGGCGGGCGGATCACAAGGTCAGGAGATTGAGACCATCCTGGCTAACATGGTAAAACCCTGTCTCTACTAAAAATACAAAAAATTAGCCGGGCATAGTGGCGGGTGCCTGTAGTCCCAGCTACTCGGGAGGCTGAGGCAGGAGAATGGCGTGAACCCAGGAGGCAGAGCTTGCAGTGAGCTGAGATCGCGCCACTGCACTCCAGCCTGGGCGACAGAGCGAGACTCCGTCTCAAAAAAAAAAAAAATAAATAAATAAATAAATAAATTTAAAAATTAAAGCAATTATTTTCTTTCTTTACATTCTTATTGTATAAGCTTTTTTTCTATTTTTACAATTAGTCTTTTAATTTTTAAACTTGTAGTTATAAACTAAGGCACAAACACACACATTAACATAGGCCAACATAGGGTAAAATCTGTCGAAATCACTGTCTGCCTCTTCCACAACCTGTCCCACCGGAAGGTCTTTAAGGGCAGTAACAAGCATGGAGCTGTCAAAACCTATGATAACAATACCTTCTTCTGGATACCTTCTGAAGGATCTGCCTGAGGCTATTTTACAGTTAACTACTATTTTAAAGTAGAAGGAATATACGCTTATATAATTATTAAAAGTAGATTGTAGTAAATACAGTTTTGACCCTTGCATAGCATAGGTTTAAACTGTGCGGGTTCGTTTATACACAGACATTTGTAGTAAATATATTGAAAAAATGTTAAGGCAAAAATTTTTAAGGCATGGCCTAGAAATATCAAAAATTAAGAAAAAGTTTAGTATGCTATAAATGCATAAAATATATGTAGATATTAGTCTATTTTATTTTTTACTACTATAAAATATAAACAAATATATTAAAGTTAAAATTTATCAAAACTTATGGCTGGGCACGGTGGCTCACACCTATAATCCCAGCACTTTGGGAGGCCGAGTTGGGTGGATCACCTGAGGTTAGGAGTTCAAGACCAGCCTGCCCAACTTGGTGAAACCCTGTCTCTACAAAAAAACACAAAAATTAGCGGGACATGGTAGTGCACACCTGTAGTCCCAGCACATCTATAGTCCCTATAGTTGGGAGGCTAGGATGGGAGAATCACTTGAACCAGGGAGGCAGAGGTTGCAGTGAGCCAAAATTTTGCCACTGCACTCCAGCCTGGGTGACACAGCAAGACCCTGCCTCAAAAAAAAAAAAAAAAAAAAAAAAAACCTATGCACAGATATACATACTGTCATTCGCAATCAAGAGAAATGTTCCATTCACAGTCAAGAAAAATGTAAACAAACCTAAAGATGCAGTATTAAATCGTAACTGGGTAACATTAACTCTAGTCTGTAGTACACTACTATAAAAATTTCACAACCACCTCATGATGCTATTGCAGTGAGCTCAAGTGTTGCCAACATTCAATTAAAATGCCCTATGATGCTTATCATCTCCAAATGAGCAGTTCTTCTCCTCAGTAAGCTGTGTATTGCAGTAAAATAATTGGTTTCTGGCAGCTCTTGCCTATTTTTCATCATATTTAGTACAATACCATAAACCTGGAATAACACCATAGGACCCATATGAAGTGGCATTAATGATGCTGGAAGTGCTCCTAAGAAGCAGAGAAAAGTCATAACATGACAAGAATAAGTTGAATTCCTTAATATGTACTGCAGATTGAGATCTGCAGTTGCAACTGCCTACCATTTCAAGATAAATGAATCCAGCATAAGGACCATTGCAAAAAATAAAAAGGAAATTCATACATCTGTAGCTGCAGATATGCCAGCAGGCATAAGTAGTAAATATCTTGCAGTTTTTGCAAAATATCTTTTAATCTTGTATTTAAAATGTAATTTTTATGTGGTTGCAGGATTGCTATAAGAAAGACATGCCTATAAACTCATATAATTTTGAGAAAAAGCAACGTCATTATATGACAACAACATAAAGCAAAAAGAAGGTGAAAGATCTAATCTGGGAGAATTTAATGTTAGCAAAGGATGGTTTGATAATTTTGAAAAGAGAGTTGGCTTTAAAAAATGTCAAGATAACAGGAGAAGCAGATTCTGCTGACTAAGAGGCAGCAGATAAGTTCCAGATGCCATTGAGAAAATCATTGAGGAGAAAGGATATTTGTCTATAAATGAAAGTCTCCTAATCTGTGGGGAGGGGAAGGCCGGAGAAGACACATATTAATAAGGAGAAGAGGCAAGTACAAAGACTTAAGGCAGGAAGAGATAAGCTAACTCCTATCTTGTGCAGATAGATTTATAACCAAGACTGCTCTTATCTATAAAGCTGCTAACCTCAGAGACTTAAACGGAAAACATAAATACCAGCTGACACTCTCTGGGTTGTACAACAAGAATGTCTGGGCAATAATCTTTTTTCCTGGATTAGTTCAATTGATGCTTTGTCCCTGTAGTCAAGAAGCATCTTTCCAATAAGGAACTGTTTTTTAAGTTCTTTTGATATTGGAAAATGACCCTAGCCACCATAAGCCTTTGAGTGGGTGTCAACATGGTCTGCTTGCTGCCAAACACATCTCTAATTCAGCCTCTAGATAATGAGATAATAAGGATAACAAGGCTTTAAGGCTCATTACACATGAAACTCTATGAAAGAGATTGACATTTCCATGAAAAATGACCCCAGTAGAGACAGCATCAAGCAAGTCTAATAGGATTACACCATTGAAGATGCCATCATTGTTGTAGAAAAAGCCATGAAAGCCATCAAGCCCCAAACAACAAATTCCTGCTGGAGAAAACTGTGTCCAGACATTGTGCATTACAGCAGAGCCAATCAAGGAAATCATAAAAGGGATTGTGGATATGGCCAAAGAAAGTGTGTGAGGGGGTATATGAAGGATTTCAAAATACAGATCTTGCAGAAATTCAGAAGCTAGTAGATCAGAAGAAAAAACAGAAGACAACTTGATAGAGATGAGTGCTTCTGAATCAGTGCTGGAGGAGGAGGAAAAAACACAGGAGAAGCAGTGCCAAAATACAAATTGACATGAGACAATCTGGCATGAAGGTCCTGATTATTCAAGACTCCTTTTACCTTTTTTTAATAACATGAACACTTATATGGATACTGCCACTGAATCTGATGATGGAAGAAGGGTTGGCACTATATAGAAATATTTTTAAACAATTGAAAAACAAAAAATCAGAATTTACAATGTATTTTCATGAAGTTACACAGAGCATGCCTGCCTCTCCTGCCTCCCCTTCAGCCTCTTCTATCTCTCCCACCTTATCTTTGCTACCCGTGAGACAGCAAGACCTCTTCCTCCTCCTCCTCAACTTACAAAACTTGAGGTCAATGAGAATTTTTTGTGATTATCTACTTCCATTTAATGAATATTAAATATATTTTCTCTTCCTTTATGATTTTTTTTCTGTGAAGATTCCAAAAGTACATTATGATTTTCTTAATAACATTTTTTTCTCTAGCTGGTCTTAAGAATATAGCATATAATACATATAACAAAAATATTTGCTAATCAACTGCTTATGTTATCAGCAGGCTTCTGGTCAACAGCAAGCTATTAGTCATTAAGTTTGGGGGTAGTCAAAAGTTATACATAAATTTTCAACTATGAAAAGGAGAGGCTGGAGTCCCTGATCCTCATATTGTTCAAGGGTCAACTGTACATAAACCAGTAACATATTCATTTATTATTATTAATATTACCATACTACACATAATTGTATGTGCTATACTTTTATATTATATAATTGGCAACGCATTAGGTTTGTTTACGCCAGCATTATCACAAACACGTGAGTTAGTGTTGCACTACTTCATTACAATGAATATGAGGACATGAGGTGATAGGAATTTTTTAGCTCCATTACAATCTTATAGGACCACTGTCATATATGTGTGTGATCTGTTATCTGTCATTGACCAAAATGTCATTATACAGCACATGATTTTGTGTGTGTACATATATACATATATGTGTTGTTTCTCTAGAGAACTCTGATTCATACAATGGCACTGTTCAGTTCAACTATATACTTAGCTGATTTCATTTTTTTTCTCCCGTATTAGTATACTCATTGTACTTCCTCATTTATTTTTATTATTTGCCCTATAGTTTGCAATATACATTTACAACTAATCCAAGTCTACTTTCATATAACACACCAATTCACGAGTAGTGCAAGTTCCTTATAAGAGTATTTAAATTCCTCCCTCCAACCTGTCACTTATCATATTGCTGTCATTTATTTCATTTATCCAGGAGTTATAATCACTGAATTGTTGCTATTATTTTGACAAATGATTTTCTATTATATCCATTAGGAATAATTTACTTTCATTTATTCCTTTTCTAATGCTCTTTTTAAACATAGATCTGAGTTTTGGACCTTATTATATTTTTTCTTTACGAAAAACTTCTTTAAACATTTTTGTTCATCTGTAGGCAAAGTCCCCATTTCTAGTGGCCTAGTCTGTTCAGTCTGGAATTAGAAAATACTGAGTGGCTTATAAACAACAGAAATTTATTTTTTGTAGTTCTGGATCCTGGGAATCCCAATATCAAAGGGGCCATCAGATTCAGTGTTTGGTGAGAGCCTACTTTCTGGTTCACAGATGGCAACTTCTTGCTACGTTCTCACATGGTAGAAGGGAAAAAATGGTCTCTTTGGGCCTATTTTATAAGTTCCATAGTCCATGGGGTCTCTACCCTTATGACCTAATCATCTACAGTCTCACCTCATAACACTATCATGTTGGTGGTTAAGTTTCAACATACCAATTTTGGGAGGGGGTACACAAATACTCAGATCATAGCACCTGATTTCTTTCAAGATTTTTTTACTTGTTTTTGACTTTCTGCCATTTAAATATAATATGCCTAATTGTACATTTTTAGTATTTATCTTGTTGGTCTCCTCTAAGTTTCCTGAATCTGTGGCTTACCTGAGCATTGTGGTTTGTCATTGCTTATTAAAACTTCTCAGGCATAAGTACTTTAAATCCTTCTCTATCTCTTTTTATGGTATTTCCAATATAAATACGTTATACTATTTGAATTGTCCCACAGTTCATGAATATTTTGTGTATACTTTTTTGTTTTGAGTATTATTTCTATTTGCATTTCAGTTTAGAAAGTTTATATTGACATATTTTCAACTCACTGATTATTTTATTGGCTGTATCCAATCTACTGGTGATCCCATCAAATACATTATTTTTATTGGAGTGGTTTTGATTTCTAGTATTTTACTTTGATTCTTTATTATAGTTTCAATTCTCTCTGCTTACATTAACCATCTGTTCTCACACGTTGTCTGCTTTTTCCACTAGAGCCCTTAACATATCAGATAATCAGATTATCAGATTATTTGATAATATCAAATAATCAGAATAGAGATAATTAAATTCTCTATCAGATAATCCCCAAATCTGTGTGATATCTGGTTCTGTTTTAATGTTTCCTTTGTCTCTTCAATCACTTCTTCTTCTTACCTTTAGTATTTCTTGTAATCATTTGGTAAAAGTCAAACACTGTGTATTGTTTAACAGGATCTAAAGTAAACAGATCTTTAGTGTAAAATTTTATATTTATCTGACTATGAGTTAGGTTTAGTTTATTGTTTTCTGTAGCTATATGTGTGTGAGGCCACAATTTCCTCTTTTGTCTTTGTTTTGCCTCCTTTGTTATCTTTCAGTTTCCTTATAAACTTTTTATTAAATAGTTTCAGAGACATGTAGTTCTTTCATGTGTAATCTATTATTATACATTAGCCCAGTTGATGTGTTAGGAAGGGGAAGCATTCTCTAATCCTATAATTACGACTCACACCGTTACATGCTCTGATTAACAAATTGTACTATGGGAAAGCACATACTTTTAGAAATTATTATTCTTAATTGCCAATTTAAAGATTGCTGGTGTGACAGCATCACACAGTGTGAGGATGTTCTATTTTGTTTTGTTGAGGGAAAGAAGAGAGAAAGTCTTTTCCTAAAGTAGAGTTACTGGATTGTTCCAGAATGGGAGAAGGACAAAAGTGAATGGATATGAAAGTTCTAGGTTTGTGGAAGATTAATCTTGTGAAAGCAACTTTATGTGTAATCAAGTTGGCTAAGATTACAAGGACATTATTTATAAATATTCCTAAGAAAATCAGTATTGATATCAAAAATATACTAATAATAAAATTTCTAGAAATCCATCATACCATTGGACTAGGTGGGAGTTCTCAGAACTCTAATGAAGAAATTGATTGGCTCCATAAAACTGCTAACACAGCACAAAGCAGAACAAGAATAAAATGAATACCAAGGAAATGCAGGTTTTTATCCTAAGCCAACCTGTATTGAAATTTGTAAGATATGTAATTTGAATGAACTCTATAAGATTAGTCCAAGTCGACTTTCTTATTATGATGTATTTAATAAATAGTGCAATGCACATGGTTAGAAAAAGTAATAGTGATATCTAAAAGGATGTAAATTCAAAGCTAAGTGTAGATTCATCAGGGGGCATGACAGTTGCCAGGATATCCTCAAGACTTTAAAGCCTCCACTTTTAAAAGCACAGAGGCAGTGTCACTGCCACCACTGGCATGCACACGAGTGTGGTCTCTGCTGCCACCACTGTGAAGCAGCACTTTGGCGATTACCCCCACCAAGGTGTTGTGACCAGCGTACCAGAAACACCTTGGCTCCTCAATTGCAGCAGGTGCTTAATATTGAGAGGCCAGATAACAAAGCTGTGGGCCTGGTACCAGCCCCACCATGATTAGAGCATGTAGCCCAGGATTGTTGAGCTGAGCCTTGGCCCAGTAAAATCTTCCAGAAGTAAAGATAGTCTACTCAACCCAACTCAAACCACAGTCAAACCCTCAAGAGCATCAAATAATATAAAAGCAAAATAATCCATTGAAAATAGAGCAACTTCAAAAATTAAAGGAATATCAGGCCATGCCAATGAAAAAAAAAAAAAAAAAACAGCCTAAGAACTGCGGCAACTCAAAAAGCCACAGTGTCTTCTTATCTCTAAATGATCATACTAGCACCTCAGCAATGGTTCTTAACCAGGTTAAATTGGCTGAAATGACGGATGTAGAATTCAGAATCTGGATAGAAATGAAAATCATTGAGATTCAGGAAAAAGTCTCAATCCAATCCATGGAATCCAAGAAAACAATACAAGAGATGAAAGACAAAAGAACCATTTTAAGAAAGCACCAAACTGATCTGATAGGGCTCAAAAACTCACTACAAGAATTTTATAATACAATCAGAAGTATTAACAGTAGAATAGACCAAGCTGAGGAAAGAACTTCGGAGCTCAAATACTGGTTCTGTGAATCAACTCAATCAGCCAAAGAATACAAAGTAATGAACAAAGCCTCTAAAAGACATGAGATTATGTACAGAGACCAAAACTATGACTCACTGGTGTCCCAGAAAGAGAGGGAATGAGAGCAAGCAACATGAAAAACATATTTAAGGATATTGTCCATGAAAATTTTCCCAACCTAGCTAGACAGGTTGACATTCAAATTCAGAAAATGCAGACAACTGCTGAGAGATACTACAAAAAAAATGAACATACCCAAGATACATATTCATCAGATTCTCCAAGGTCAAGATGAAAGAAAAAAATATTAAAAACATCTAGAGAGATATTGCAGGTCACCTACAAAGGGAACCCTATCAGGATAATATTGGATCTCTCAGCAGAAACCCTACAAGCCAGAAAAGATTAGGGGGCTTTAACAATTCAGCATTGTTAAAGAAAATAAATTCCAATAATTTCATATCCAGCCAAACTAAGCTTCATAAGCAAAGGAGAAATAAGATCCTTTTAAGATAAGCAAATGCTTAGGGAATTCATTACCACTAGACTTGCCTTAAATGAGGTCCATAAGAGAGTGCTAAACATGGAAATGAAATACTGTTACCAACCGCCACAAGAACACATGTAAGTACAAAGATAATTGATACAATATAGCAACTACACAATCAGTCTGCAAAACAACCAGCTAACAACATAATGTCAGGATCAAATCTACACATATCAATATTAATCTCCAATGAACATGAGTTAAACACACCATTTAAAAGGTACAGAGTGACAAATTAGATAAAAGAGCAAGACCCAGCTCTATACTGTAATCAAGAGGCTCAACTCTATGCAATGACACGTGCAGACTCATAGTAAAGGGACAGAGAAAAACCTACCAAGAAAATGGAAACCAAAAAGGAGCAGAGGTTGTTATTCAAATTTCAGACACAACAGACTTTAAACCAACACTGATCAAAAGAGACAAAGAAAGGCATTACATAATGATAAAGGATTCAATTCAATAAGAAGACTTAACTATCCTAAATATATATGCACCCAACACTGGAGCACCAAGATTCATAAAACAAGTTCTTACAGACCAATGAAGAAACTGAGATAACCACACAATACTAGTTGGAGACTTCAACAACACATTGACAGTATTAGACAGATCCCTGAGGCAGAAAACTAACACAGATATTAATGACTAAAATTAAACACTTCACCAAATGGACCTAACAGCCATCTACAGAACACTCCACCCAACAAAAACAGAAAATACATTCTCGATATCCTGGTGGACGGGAGGCAGGACTAGATTGCAGCTCCCGCTTGGACAGACAGGACAGCTTGATGAGGCCCGCACTGTGAACTTTTGCTCCACAACAGCTTCAGGAATACTTTAGGAAAGCCAAGAGAACCCAGACACCCTCTGAAGGAAGCAGATTGCTCCCTGCAGGACCCAGGAGACAACCCAAATAAAGTGAGTGCCCAAACTGTAGAAGTGGGAAAGGGAAATCATCCACCCCATAACATACCCCTCCCACTAGGGAACCTGAAGGTCTAGATTACAGGAGAAGATTTTGACCTTACCTGGAGTTGAGTCGAACTAGAGAGCAGAGTGAAATAGAGGGGTAGAGGAAGCAGCAGGAAAATCCCTGTGGGCTCGCTGGGTCCCCTACCAAGCCATTTCTCCCTTGCCTCACAGGGATCCTCGAGGAGGGCTGCCAGAGGCACTGGGAAAAGGCCACGGGGAGAAAGAAACCTCCAGCTGAACGTTGTTAACAATTTGAACCGGGGAGAAAGAAACCTCCAGCTGAACGTTGTTAACAATTTGAACCGATAGAGAAGTCTCCTGGCCAGAACTTGTGGGAGGGCGTGAATCTGGTGTGCAGACTCCACAGGCAGGGGAAGAAGGAAAACGCTACTTATTTTCACAACTGGAAGGCTAGGGTAGTCTGGCGCAAGTTCTCAGTCCTGCTTGCTCGCTGCCTGGAAACAGACTTGGTGCTGTTGGGTGGGGCACAGTAGGAGTGAGACTGGCCCTTTGGGTTGTGTGAGAGCTGGCTGAGGCCTGTGACTACCGGCTTTCCCCCACTTTCCTGACAACCTGCATGACACAGCAAAGGCAACCATAATCCTCCTAGGAACATAATTCCATTGACATGGGAACCTCACCCCCAACCCACACAGCAGCTGCAACAAGACCAGCCCAAGTAGCTTCTGAGCTCAGACATGCCTAGCTCTGCACCCACCTATTGGTCTTTTCCTACCCACCCTGGTAACTGAAGACAGAGCATATACTCTTGGGAGTTATAGGGCCCCACCCACCATCTGTTCCTCTGCATACTACCACAGCTGATGCCCTCTTGAAAGTGCCACCTCCAGGCAGGGGCCAACCAGCACAAAAACAGTGCATTAATCAACCAAAGCTAAGGATCCCCGCAGAGTCCATTTCACCCCCCTGCCACCTCCACCCAAGCAGGTGCCGGTATCCACAGCTGAGAGACCCACTGACAGTTCCCATCACAGGACTCTGTGTAGGCAACCTCCAGTACCAGCCTGGAGCCTGGTAGAATTGCTTCGTGGCTACATCCAGAAGAGAGATAACAATCACTACAACTCAGCTCTCAGGGAGCCACATCCCTAGGAAAAGCGGGAGAGTACTACATCAAGGAAATACCTGGTGGGACAAAAGGAACTGAACAACAGCCTTGAACCCTAGACTTTCCCTCTGACAGAGCCTACATAAATGATAAGAAACCAGAAAACCAACTCTGGTCATATGACAAAACAAGGTTCTTTAACACCCCCCAAAAAATTACACTAGCTCTCCAGCAATGGATCCAAACCAAGAAGAAATATCTGATCTACCTGAAAAAGAATTCAGAAGTTTAGTTATTAAGCTAATCAGAGAGGCACCAGAGAAAGGGGAAGCCCAATGTAAGGAAAAAAATATGGTACAAGAAGTGAAGGGAGAAATATTCAATGAAATAGATAGCATGAATAAGAAACAATAAAAACTTCAAGAAACAATGGATACACCTATAGAAATGCAAAATGCTCTGGAAAGACTCAACAATAGAATAAAACAAGGAGAAGAAAGAACCTCAGAGCTCAAGGACAAGATTTTTAAATTAACACAATCCAACAAAGACAAAGAAAAAAGGTTGAGAAAATATGAACAAAGCATCTAAGAAGTCTGAGATTATATTAAGTGACCAAACCTAAGAATAATTGGTGTTCCTGAGGAAGAAGAGATATTTAAAAGTTTGGAAAATATATTTGAGGGAATAATCAAACTTCCCTGGCCTTTCTAGAGACCTAGACATTCAAATACAAGAAACTCAAAGAACACCTGGGAAATTCATTGCAAAAAGATCATTGCCTAGGCACATTGTCATCAGGTTATCTAAAGTTAAGATGAAGGGAAGAATCTTAAGAGCTGTGAGTCAAAAACATCAGGTAACCTATAAAGGAAAACCTATCATATTAATAGCATATTTCTCAGCAGAAACCCTGCAAGCTAGAAGGGATCAGGGCCCTATCTTTAGCTTCCTCAAACAAAACAATTATCAGCCTAAAATTTTGTACCCGGTGAAACTAAGCTTCATAAGTGAAGGAAAGATACAGTCTTTTTCAGACAAACAAATGCTGAGAGAATTTGCCACCAGAAAGCCAGCACTACAAGAACTGCTAAAAGGAGCTCTAAGTCTTGAAACAAATCCTGGAAGCATATCAAAACAGAACCTCTTTAAACATAAATCTTACAAGACTTACAAAACAAAAATACAAAAAAAAAAAGCCATGGTATACACAGAACAAATAGCATGATGAATGGAATGGTACCTCACATCTCAATATTAACGTTGAATGTAAATGGCCTAAATGCTCAACTTAAAAGATACAGCATTGCAGAATGGATAATAAGTCACCAACCAACCATCTGCTGCCTTCAAGAGACACACCTAACACATAAGGGCTCACTTAAACTTAAGGTAAACGGATGGAAAAAGACATTCTATGCAAACAAATGGACACCAAAGGTGAGCAGGGTTTTTGGGTTTTTTGTTTGTTTGTTTGTTTGTTTTTTAGACGGCGTCTTGCTCTGTCACCAAGCTGGAGTGCACTGGCATGATCTTGGGTCACTGCAACCTCTGCCTTCCAGGTTCAAATGATTCTCCTGACTTAGCCTCCCGAGTAGCTGGGACTCCAGGTGTGCAGTACCACACCCAGCTAATTTTTGTATTTTTAGTAGAGACAGGGCTTTACCATGTTGGTCAGGATGGTCTCGATCTCTTGACCTCGTGATTCGCCCACCTTGGCCTCCCAAAGTGCTGGGATTACAGGTGTGAGTCACCACACCCAGCTAGGGGTAGCTATTCTTATATCACAAAAGAAACTTTAAAGCAACAGCAGTTGAAAAAGACAAAGAGGGGCACTATATAATGATAAAAGACTTTGCCCAACAGGAAAATATCACAATCCTAAATATTACAGGCACCTAACACTGGAGCTGTTTGTAAAACAGCTGTTTATAAAACAATTACAAATAGACCTAAGAAATGAGATAGAAAGCAACACAATAATAGTGGGGAACTTCAATACTCCACTGACAGCACTAGACACGTCACCAAGACAGAAAGTCAACAAAGAAACAATGGATTTAAACTATACCCTGGCGCAAATGGACTTAACAGATATTTACTGAAAATTCTACCCAACAACTGCATAATATACATTCTATTTAACAGCACATGAAACTTTCTCCAAGATAGACCATATGATATGCCACAAAATGAGCCTTGATAAATTCAAGAAAATTGAAATTATATCAAGCACCCACTCAGACCACAGTGGAAAAAAACTGGAAATCAACTCCAAAAAAACCTTCAAAACCATGCAAATACATGGAAATTAAATAACCTGCTCCTCAATGATCATTGACTCAACAATGAAATCAAGATAGATATTAAAAAATTCTTTGAACTGATTGACAATAGTGACACAACCTATCAAAACCCAGGGGATACAGCAAAGGCGGTGCTAAGAGGAAAGCTCATAGCCCTAAATGCCTACATCAAAAAGTCTGAAAAAGCACAAACAGACAATCTAGAGTAACACTTCAGGGAACTAGAGAAATAAGAACAAACCAAATGCAAACCCAGCAGAAGAAAGGAGATAACCAAGATCAGAGCAGAACTAAATGAAATTGAAACAAACAAACAAACAAAAAATACAAAAGATAAATGAAACAAAAAGCTGGTTCTTTGAAAAGATAAATTGATAAATAATTAGCAAATAAGACAGATAATTGATTAGCAAATAATTAGCAAATAAGACAGATAAATAATTAGCAAATAAGACAAATAAATTGATAAATAGCAAATAATTAACCAAAAAGACAGAAAATTCATAAGAACATGAGTAGACCATTCTCAAAAGGGGATACACAAATGGCCCACAAACATATGAAAAAATGCTCAGTATCACTAATGATCAGGAAAATGCAAATCAAGGCCACAATGCGATACCACCTTACTCTTGCAAGAATGGCCATAATCAAAAAATGAAAAACTAATAGATGTTGGTGTGGATGCGGTGAACGGGCAACACTTCTAACACTGCTGGTGGGAATGTAAACTAGTACAACCACTATGGAAATCAGTGTGGATATTCCGTAAAGAACTAAAAGTAGAACTACCATTTGACCCAGAAATCCCACTACTGGGTATCTACCCTGAGTCACTATATGTAAAAGATACTTGCACAGGCATGTTTATAGCAGCACAATTCACAATTGCAAAAATGTGGAACCAACCCAAGTTCCTATCAATCAGCAAGTGGATGGAGAAACTGTGGTATAAGATGGAATACTACTCAGCCATAAAAAGGAATGAATTAATGGCATTCACAGCCACCTGGATGTGATTGGAGAACATTATTCTAAGTGAAGTAACTCAGGAATGAAAAGCAAACATCATATATTGTCACTCATATGTGGGAGCTAAGCTATGAGGATGCAAAGGCATAAGAAAAACACAATGGACCTTGGGGATTCAGGAGGAAAGGAAGGGAAGGGAGTGAGGGATAAAAGACCACAAATTGGGTGCACTATATACTGCTCTTGTGATGGGTGCAACAAAATCTCATTTGTTGAATAAATGAATGAGTTAAACACACACACACACAAAGAAGTCATACACACAGCCAACAAATATATAAAAGATGCTCAACATTGCTAATCATTAGAGAAATGCAAATTAAAATCGCAATGAGATACCATCTCTCACCTGTCAGAATAGCTATTATTGAAAAGTCAAAACAACAGATTCTGGCAAGGCTGTGGAGAAAAGGGTACAATTATACACTGTGGTTTGGAATGCAAATGAGTTCAGGCACTGTGGAAACCAGTTTGGAGATTTCTCAAATAACTTAAAACAGAACTACTATTTGGCTCAGCAATCCCATTACTGGGTATATACTCAAAGGAAAATATATCATTATACCAAAAAGACACATGCAGTCATATGTTAATCACCACACTGTTCACAATAGCAATGAGATGAAATCAAGTAAGGTGCCCATCAATGGTGGACTGGGTAAAGAAAATGTGATATATATACATCATGGAATCCTATTCAGCAATAAAAAAATGAATGCAGTCATGTCCTTTGCAGGAACATGGATGGAACTGGAGGCCATCCTAAATGAATTAATGCAGGAACAGGAAACCAAAATACTGTGCATTCTCATTCATAAGTGGGAGCTAAACATTGAGCACACATGGACGCAAACGTGGGAACAATAGACACTGTGTACTACTAGAGGGGAGAGGGAAAGAGGGGGTCATAGGTTAGAAAACTACCAATTGGGTACCATGCTTACTACCTGAGTACAATATGCCCATGTAACAAACCTGCACATGTATCCCTTATATCCAGAATAAAAGTTGAAATTCGTAAAAAGCCAAAAAAAAAGAGGATATACATTTTCATCTGCATGTGGCATATACTTCAAATTTGACCACACAATCAAGAATAAAACAATTCTCAACAAATTGAAAGAATGTAAAATCATACCAACCACACTCTTTGAACACAGTGCAATAAAAACAGAAATAAATACTATAAGAAGATCTCTCAAAACCATACAATTACATAGAAATTAACCTGCTTCTGAATGAGTTTTGGGTAAAAATTAAAATTCAGGCAGAAATCAAGTGTTACTTGAAATTAGTGAAATTATTGAAAAACAGATAAAAACATACCAGAATATCTAGGACACAACTAAAGCAGATTTAACAGGAAAGTATTTAGTACTAAATGCCCATATCAAAAAGTTAGAAAGACTTCAAATTAACAATCTAATATCACACCTAGGGTAACTAAAAAACCAGTGCAAACAAATACCAAAACTAGCAGAAGAGAAGCAATAAGCAAAATCAGAGCTAAGCTGAAGAAAACTAGGATGCAAAAAAATATACGAAAGGTCAATGAAACCATAAATTGGTTCTATGAAAAATAAACAATATTAATAGACCATAGCTAGACTAATAAAGAAAAAGACAGAGAAGACTGAAATAAACACAATCAGAAATAACAAAGAGGACATTACCACTGACCTCACAGAAATACAGAAAACCCTCAGAGACTATTTTGAACACCTCTATGTACCCAAGTAGAAAACCAAGAAGAAATGCATACATTCCTGGAAACATACAGCCTCCCAAGATTGAAACAGGAAGAAATTGAACTCTAAATAGAGTAATAATTTCCAAAATTGAATCACTAATAAAAAGCCTATCAATCAGAAAAAGCCCTGGTCAGATGAATTCACAGCTGAATTCTGCCAGACATAAAGAACAGCTGGAACCGATCGTATGAAAACTATTACAACAAATTGAGGAAGACAGACTTCACCCTAACTCATTGTATAAGGCCAGCATCATCCTGATGCCAATAACTGGCAAAGACAAAACAAAAAAAGAACACTTCAGGCCAATATCCCTGATGAACATACATCAAAAATCCTCAGGAAAATACAAGCAGAAAAAATTCAGCAGCACATCAAAAAGCTAATCCACCATGATCAAGTAGGCTTTATGTCTAGGATACAAGCCTGGTTAAATATATGCAGATCAATAAATCTGAGTCATCAAATAAACAGAACTAAAAACTAAAATCGCATGATCATCTCAATAGACAAAGAAAAGATTTAGATGGAAGTCAACATCCTTTCATGTTAAAAACCCTCAACTAGGCACTGAGGGACAATACCTCAAAATAGTGAGTCATCTATGAAAATCCCATATCCAATATCGTACTGAGCAGTCAAAAACTAGAAGCATTCCCCTGGAAAACTGGCACAAGACATGGATGCCCACTCTCACCACTCGTATTCAACATTGTTCTAAAAGCCTTACCCAGAGCAATCAGGCAAGAGAAAAAAATAAAATACATCCAAATAGGAAGAGAAGACAAACTATCTCTCTTCACAGATGATATGACTTTATACATAGAAAACCCTATAGTCTCCGCCCAAAAGCCTCTGGAAGTGATAAACAACTTCAGTAGACTTGTAGCACACAAAATCAATGTGCAAATATCAGTTGCATTTCTATACATCAACAATAGCCAAGCTGAGATCTAAATCAAGAACACGGTCCCATTCACAAGAGCGGCAACAAAATAAAACACCCTGGAATAGATCTAACCAGGGAGGTGAATGACATCCACAATGAAAATTACAAAACACTTCTGAAAGAAATCAGAGATGACACAAGTGGAAAACATTCCATGCTCATGGATAGGAAGAATGAATATTGTTAAAATGGACATACTGCTCAAAGCAAATTACAGAAATGTTATTCCTTTCAAGCTACCAATGGCATGTTTAACAGAAGCGGAGAAATCTATTTTAAAATTTATATGGAATGAATAGAGCCTGAATAGCCAAAGCAATCTTAAGCCAAAATAACAAACCAGAAGGCATCACATTACCTGACTTAAAACTATACTACAAGGCTACGCTAAGCAAAAAACCATGGTACTGGTACAAAAACAGACACTCAGAATAATGGAACAGGTTAATGAACCCAGAAATAAAGCCACACACCTACAACCACCTAATCTTTGACAAAGTCTCCAAATGCAAGCAATGGGAAAAGGACTGCCTATAAAATAAATGGCACTGGCATATCTGGCTAGTCATATGCAGAAGACTGAAACTAGACCCCTTCCTTTCCCTAACATTAATTCAAAAATCAACTCAAAATGAATGAAAGAATTAAATGTAAAACCCAAACCTATACAAACCCTAGAAGAAATCGTAGGAAATACCATTCTGGATATAGGCCTTGGCAAAGATTTCATCACAAAGACTCCAAAAGCAATTGTAACAAAAACAAAAATTGATCAATCATTCCTAATTAAACTAAACAGTTTCTGCACTGCAAAATAAACTATCAATAGAGTAATAAACAGACAAGCTAAAGAATAGGAGAAAATTTTTTCAAACCATGCATCTGACAAAGGTCTACCATCTCAAATCTATAAGGAACCTAAACAAATTAACAAGCAAAAAACAAAAAAAAAGTTATTAAAAATGGGCAAATGACATGAACAGACACTTCTTAAAAGAAGACATACACGTGGTCCACAAGCATATAAAAGAAGTAAACATCACTGATTATAAAATAAATGCAAATCAAAACCAAAGAAATGCAAATTGAAACCACAATGAGATACCATCTCACACCACTCAGAATGGCTATTATTAAAAAGTCAAAATATAACAAATGCTGTTGAGGTTTCACAGAAAACAGAGTACTTATACACTGCAAGTGGGAATGTAAATTAGTTCATACACTGTGGAAAGAAGTTTGGAGATTTTTCAAGGAACATACAAAAGAACTACCATTCTACCCAGCAATCCTATTTTGGGGTATATATCCAAAGGAATATAAATTGTTCTACCATAAAGACAGATGCACACATAGTTTCATTTGCAGCACTATTAACAATAGAAGAAACATGGAATCAACCTAAATGCCCATCAATATTGGACTAACGAAAATGTGGTACATATGCCCCACAGAATACCACACTGTCAGAACACAAATGAGATAATGTCCTTGGCAACAACATGGATGGAGCTGGAGGTCATTATCTTAAGAACATCAATGCAAAAACAGAAAACTAAATATCACACCTTCTCCCTTATAAGTGAGAGCTAAACACTGACTGCACCTGGACACAAGGAAGAGAACAAGACACCTGGGCCTCCTTCAGCATGGGGTGTGGGAGGATGTTGAGGATCAAAAAACTACCTATCAGGTATGATGCTTATTGCCTGGATGGTGAAATAATCTGCCCACCAAGGCCCCATTTCTCTAAGTTTACATGTGTCTGGCCATCTCACATAATCCCTGAACCTTGAATGAAAGTTGGAAATAAAAAGAAATAAAAAATATTTAAAAATAAAAAATAAATCTAGGATGTGGAAGAAAAATAGAAGGACTACAGTAGAAATTAATAAAATAGAAATGCAATACAATGTATCAGCTAAACCAAGCATTTATTATTTGCAAAGATTAATAAAATTGTTATGTCATTTTTTTTTTTTTTGAGACGGAGTCTCCCTCTGTCACCCAGGCTAGAGTGTAATGGTGCTATCTTGGCTCACTGGAACCTCTGTCTCCCAGGTTTAAGTGTTTGTTGTGCCTAAGCCTCCCTAGTAGCTTGGATTACAGGCAAGTGCCACCACAGCTGACTAGTTTTTGAATTTTTAGGAGAGATGGGGTTTCATCATGTTGGCCAGGCTGGTCTCTAACTCTTGGCCTCAAATGATCCAGCTGCCTTGGCCTCCAAAAGTGCTGGGATTACAGGTGTGAGCCACCATGCCCGGCCAAAAGTTGATATGCCTTTGGCAAGATGATTAGGATGAAAAAAGTGAAGGCATAAACAATACTAGTAATAAAAATTGGCACCTAAATATGATGCTGTAGACCTTGTAAAGATAATAAAACTTATTTTTAACTGTATTACATCAACAAATTTTGATACTTCATATGCTATGGACAACTCCTTGAAAACTATAGCTTATCAAACGGACTCACAAAGAGCCACAGCTTATGAGTAGTTGTATAACTTTCATTAAATTGAATGAGAAGTCAAAAATCGTCCACTCCCAAATCCGAGGTCTATCAGCTTTGTAAGTTCTCCTGAACTTTCAGTGAAGCCAGTACTACCATAATACCTGAAGTTTTTCATAATATATAACACTTGCATAACTATGATTCTAAAACCTGAGAAAAATAATGTGAGAAAAATGTACTAGCCAATATCATTCATGCATATATAGACCGTTTTTTTACCGTTTGTATTTGTGGGTGCATATGCAGGTTAGTTTCCTGAGTGCACTGCCTAATTGCTGAGGTCTGGGGTACAAATGACCCCATCATCCAGATAATGAGCACTGTAGGCAAAATATTTAAATAAAATAATAGCAAAGTGAATCCAGCAAGTTAGATTTAATTGAGGAACATAAGACTGGTATGTCATTAGAAAATCAATTGAAGTAATTCACCACTTTAATAATTTTAAAAAGCCTTGCACTCCACAACTCATCATGGAATGGGCAAGCTGATCCAAATTGAAAAAATAATTGGTGAAGTAACTGTTTTAAAATAGTTACAATAGTTTGTAATCAATGTCTGGTTTTCGAAATGCAAAATCCTTGGAAGAAAATAAAAACTTCAGGTGGTGCATTTCCACAACCTGAAGGGTAATTTGAATATCTACTGATAGACTTTATTCAGTTGCCACCTTCATCTTTATTTAATTTAATAGTAAATAAATATTAAACTATGTATGTATATACTTGAAATGGTCTGAATGTTTTTTGGTTAGACAGAAGCTTTTACATGTAGGAGCACTGATGCTGTGAAAGTGACTGGAAAGCTTTTAGAAGGTATGTTTCCTTCCCTTTACGGGGAATCCCTGGAGAAAATTTCAGTGACAGAAAAACACATTTTAGGCTGGGCGTGGTGGCTCACACCTGTAATCCCAGCACTTTGGGAGGCCGAGGTGGGTGGATCACAAGGTCAGGAGATTGAGACCATCCTGGCGAACACGGGGAAACCCCATCTCTACTAAAAATACAAGAAAAAAAATTAGCCGGGCGTGGTGGCGGGCGCCTGTAGTCCCAGCTACTTGGGAGGCTGAGGCAGGAGACTGGTGTGAATCCAGGAGGCAGAGCTTGCAGTGAGCCAAGATCATGCCACTGTACTCCAGCCTGGGAGACAGAACGAGACTCCGTCTCAAAAAAAAAAAAAAAAACAAAAAAAAACAAACAAAAAAACATTTTACTGGGCAAATTATAAGGTATTACGGATGCATTATGCCAGAGAGTATTTTCATTAAGTAAACAAAGCTTTTTGTGGCCCACGAACTGATGAAAACCAGACCTCCCAAAATCTAGAACCTTGGAGACTGGGTATTCTGGAAATGATATCAGAGAAAGACTGCCCTTGAACCTCATTAGAAAGAATCCTACAAACAAGTCGGCATAATGAACAACTAACAGCACAATGACAAGATCAAATCCATAATATCACTACTAACATTGAATGTAAATGGGCTAAATGCCCCAATTAAAAGGCACAGAGTGGCAAGCTGGATAAAGAACCAAGACCCAAGGGTATCTTCATGAGACCCATGTAACACGCAATGACAACCATAGGCTCAAAATAAGATGACAAAGAAAAATCTACCAAGCAAAAGGCAAACAGAAAAAAAGCAGGGGTTGCAATCCTGATTTCAGACAAAACAGACTTTAAGTCAACAAAAATTTTAAAAGACAAAGAAGGGCATTACATAATGATAAAGGGTTCAATTCAACAAGAAAAGCTAACTGTCCTAAACATATATGCACCCAACACAGGAGCACCCAGATTCTATTTTTTTTTTTTTTTGAGACAGAGTCTTGCTCTTGTCACCCAGGGGGAGTGCAGTGGTGCAATCTCTACTCATTGCCACCTCCGCCTCCCAGGTTCAAGTGATTCTCCTGCCCCAGCCTCCCAAGTAGCTGAGATTACAGGAGGCGGCCACCAAGCCCAGCTAATTTTTGTATTTTTAGTGGAGACGGGGTTTCACCATGTTGACCAGGCTGGTCTCGAACTCTTGGCCTGAGGTGATTCACCCCCTTCGGCCTCCCAAAGTGTTGGGATTACAGGCGTGAGCCACCACGCCCGGCCCATAAACAAGTTCTTAGAGACATTCAAAGAGACTTAGACTTCCACACAATAATAGTGAGAGACTTTGACACCCCACTGACAATATTAGACAGATCACTGAGGCAGAAAATTAACAAAGATATTAACTCAAAACAGGACTAAGTGGATCTATACATCTAAGATCTAAGACATCTATAGAATTATCCACTGAAAAGCAACAGAATGTACATTCTTCTCATCTGTACATGGCACATACTCTAAAATAGACCACAAAATCAGACATTAAACAATCCTCAGCAAATTTTTAAAAAAATCCAGACCCTCAGACCACAGCACAGTAAAAGTAGAATTCAATATGAACAAAATAGCTCATAACCATATATTTACATAAAAATTAAACAACTCACTTCTGTATGACTTTTGGGTAGATAATAAAATTGAGGCAGGAATCAAGAACTTCTTTGAAGTGAATGAGAACAAATATACAACATACCAGAATCTCTAAGACACAGCTAATGCAGTGTTAAGAGGGAAATTTATAGCACTAAATACCGACATTGAAAAGTGAAACAGATCTCAAGTTAACAGTCTAACATCACAGCGAAAAGAACTAGAGAGGCAAGAGCAAAGCAATCCAAAAGCTAGCAGAAGACAAGAAATAACCCAAATTAGAGCTGAAGTGAAAGAAATGGAGAAATTAAAAGCCATTCAAAAGACGAACAGAGCCAGGAACTGATGTTTTGAAAAAATTAATAAGATAGATAGGCTGTTAGACTAATGAAAAAGAAAATGAAGAAGATTAAAATAAACACAATCAGAAATGCCAAAGATCTTACCACTGACTCCAGAGAAATACAAATAACTATCAGAGACTATTATGAAAACCCCTATGCACACATACTAGAAAATCAAGAAGAAATGGATAAATTCCTGGACACATACACCTTCCAAAAATTGAAGCAGGAAAAAATTGAATCCCTGAACAGACCAATAATGAGATCCAAAATGAATCAGTAATAAATAGCCTACTAATCAAAAAAAGCCCTGGACCACACGGATTCACAGCTGAATTCTACCGATGTACAAAAAAAGATCTAGTACCATTCTTATTGAAATTATTACAAAAAAAATTGAGGATGAAGGACTCCTCCCCAATTCATTCTATGAGGTAAGCACCATCCTGATACCAAAACCTGGCAGGGTCATACACGAAAAATATAACTTCAGGCCAATATCCTTGACGAACATTGATGCAAATATCCTCAACCAAATAGTAGCAAATGGAATCCAGCAGCACATCAAAAAGTGAATCCACCACGATCTAAGTAAGCTTCATCCCTGGGAAGCAATGTTGGTTCAGCATATGTAAATCAATAAATGCAATTCATCATATTAACAGAAAAAAAATCCCATATGATCATCTTAATAGAGGCAGAAAAGACTTTCAATAAAATTCAACATCCATTCACATTAAAAGCTCTCAGCATACTAGCTATTGAAGGAACATACCTCAAAACAATAAGAGCCATTTATGACAAACCCACAGCCAACATCATACTGAATGGCCAAAAGCTAAAATCATCCCCCTTGAAAACTGGAACAATACAAGGATGCCCTCTCTCACCAGTCCTATTCCACATAATACTGGAAGTCCTAACCAGAGCTATCAGGCAAGAGAAACAAATAAAGTGCATCCAAATAGGAAGTCAAACTATCCTTGTTTGAAGATGACTAATTCTATATCTAGAAAACACCATAGTCTCAGTCCAAAATCTCCTTGAGCTGATAAGCAACATCAGCAAAGTCCCAGGATACAAAATCAATATACAAAAATCACTACTATTTTTATACACCAACAACAGCCAAGTAGAGGCCCAAATCAGGAACATAATCCCACTCACAATTGCCACAAAAATAATAAAATACCTAGGAATACACCTAATGAGGGAGGCGAAAAATCTCTACAAGTAGAATTACAAAACACTGCTCAAATAAATCAGAGATGAAAAAAAAATTTAAAAATTCCATGCCCATGGATAGGAAGAATCAAGATCCCTAAAATGGCCATACTGCACAAAGCAATTTATAGACTCAATGCTATTCTTATCAAACTACTAATGATATTCTTCACAAAACTATAAAAAAAGATTTTAAAATTCATTTGGAATAATAATAATAAAAAAAACAGCCTGAACAGCCAAGGCAATCCTAAGCAAAAAGAACAAAGTAGGAGACATCATGCTACCCGACTTCAAACTATACTACGGGGCTACAGCAACTAAAACAGCATGGAACTGGTACAAAAACAGACACACAGACCAATGGAACAAAATAGAGAGCCCAGAAATAAGGCCACACACCTACCACTATCTGATCTTCAACAAGGCTGACAAAAGCAATTGGGAAAGGACTCCCTATTCAATAAATGGTGCTAGAATAATTAGCTAGCCGTATGCAGAAGATTGAAAGTGGACCCTTTCCTTACATCATATACAAAAAGTAACTCAAGATGGATTAATGACTTAAATGTAAAATCCAAAATTATTTTTAAAAAACCTGGTAGACAACCTAGGCAATACCATTCTGGACACAGGAACTCACAAAGATTTAATGATGAAGATGCCAAAAGCAACTGCAACAAAAGCAAAAAATTATAAATGAGATCTAATTACACTAAAGAGCTCCTGCACAGCAAAAATAAACTATCAGTAAACAGACAACCTACAGAATTTGAGAAAATATTTGAAAACTATGCATCTAACAAAGGTCTAATATCCAGTATCTATAAGGAACTTAAACAAATTTACAAGAAAAAAACAACTCCATTAAAAAGTGGACAAAGGACATGAACATAAACTTTTTCAAAAGAAGACATACACGCAGCCAACAATCATATGAAAAAAAATCTCAATATCACTTATCATTAAAGAAATGCAAATCAAAACCACAATGAGATACCATCTCACAACAATCATAACGGAAAACACATGCACACATATGTTCACTGCAGCACTATTCACAATAGCAAGGACAAAGAATCAATCTAAATGACCACCAATGACAGATTGGTTGAAAAAAAAGTGGTACTTATACATCATGGAATACTATGCAGTCATAACAGAGAACGAGGTCATGTGCTTTGCAATAACATGGATAAAGCTGGAGGCCATTATCCTTAGCAAACTAACGCAGGAACAGAAAAACAAATACTGCGTGTTCTCACTTATAAGTGAGAGCTAAATTATGAGAACAGATGGACATAAAGAGAGAAACACCAGACACTGAGGCCTAACAAACGGTGAAGGCTGGGAGGAGGGAGAGGAGCAGAAAAAATAACTAATGGGTACTAGGCTTAGTATCTGGGTGACAAAATAATCTTTACATCAAACTCTCATTACACTAGTTTACCTGTATTACAAGCCTACACATGTACCCCTGAATCTAAAATAATTTTTATTTATTTATTTATTTTTGAGATGGAGTCTCCCTCTGTTACCCAGGCTGGAGTGCAGTGGCACGATCTCGGCTCACTGCAACCTCTGCCTGCTGGGTTCAAGCCATTCTGTCTTAGTCTCCCAAGCAACTGGGATTACAGGCACAAACCACCATGCCTGGCTAAACTTTTTTTGTATTTTTAGTAGAGATGAGGTTTTGCCATGTTGGCCAGGCTGGTCTCGAACTCCCGACCTCAGGTAATCAGCCCACCTCGGCCTCCCAAAATGCTCAGATTACAGGCGTGAGCCACCACGTTCTGCCTAAAATAATTTTTTTAAATAAAAAGAACCCTACCAAGTTTTTTTCTCCACCCTCACCACAGCAAAGCTCAAGAGACTCAAATCTTGGGTCTACAAGTCACAACTTAAGAGGGCCCCTCCAGGCTCCTGGAACTGCACACCTGTTGGAGACTCTAAGGTAAAGCTAACCAAAGAAATTCTTTCCGAGAAACAGATGGCATTGTAATACATGGACAGCTTTCCTAAGATCATGGACCAAGATTTCTCTGCAATTATGAAGACCTTAATTTTCCTCCTGTTTTCTGCTGTTCTCACCCTTTCTCTTTTCATGCAGGAAAATTCATGGGACAATAACCTGCAGATGGCTTTAGCAAAAGCTTGTGCTCTAGCAAGAAACCAAATAATTGTTGGTTTTGTGATCTAATGCAAAAAGAAAAACCCTTAAGAAACCATTCCATTATTGCCAATACTTCTTCATGTTCCCATACACACCTTGAAAACCTCAAAGGAAGAGTGAAAAGTTATCCCTGATATGTTAAACATCACTACTTATTGCTTTCCTATGATCTATAGAAGTAGTACTCTTACCTTTTCAATCAATAGCCTAATTGCTACCAGGAACTTTAAAAAAAATCCTCTCTGGGTGATGCCTTTTACAAGGTATACTGTGCCTTCTGGCATCAAATATTAGAGACCCAGGAACTACCTATGTGGGTACAAGTAACTGCTTATATAACACTACTCACCAATAGGTGTGGTTATGCACACCTACAGTATACAACAGAGGGGCCACCTAAGAGCAAATTTCTTTTTGTATTTTATTCAGGAACTATGATTATTGACTGAGTAGATATAACTGACCTTCGCTCAAACGCCACTAGGTGGCCTTCCTTTCCAGCTCCCGAGGGCCTATATTGGGCCGGCCTCTTCACTTTAAAATCTTGCTATTTGTCCCGTCTCCCTTCTGCCTTCCAAACAGCGTTTCCTGAAAATCCTCTTAGTATTTTCTATAATCAGAAATCAAAAAGGAAAATAATCAAAATTAGTATCCATGTTGAAATGAATATGGACAAATTTGTTTTCAATGAGGAAAGGTTCCCATCATGTTTCTGATGCCTAACTTTTGGCAGTATTGAGGTGTCAGTTGTATGAAATGTAAAGCTAATTCATATAGTGGGAAAAAATTTGGAATTTGTGGCCAAACCTCTCAGGGATTCAGATGCATAGAGGCTACCCTCTGACAAATGGATGGCAAGCTTGGCTGCTCTAAGGTTTTCTAATATTTACATTTCTGTTAATGGACCTCCAGATCACTGTGAATTGTGTCACCAGACTAACCACAAAATTCAATACCTCTTTAGATCACGCAATCTTGCAGCATGCTATGGGCCTTGTTCTCCATCATATTCCAAACAAGGAGTATGACCAATGGGACTCAAACACTAATGAATTACACCTAGTGCCTGAACTTTCAGTTGTTCAATTTTGATTAGTTAATTCATGGAGACTCCTGCTGGAAGGTGAGTTTCAGTTTCTTGGCATTGAATTGTGTTGTATTCACTCAAAAATTTTAAATACCCATATACAGCTGTCTTCTGTGCATTGAATGGTCTCATTACAGTTGGAATAACAAAAACATAAAACATAAGAGTCAGCTAACTTATTTTACATCGTGAAATTGTAAATTCTTGACAATTGCTGGATCCAGAAGATTGATTGTGAAGGCTGCAGAGGATGGTGTAACTCCCCATGCCTATGGCTTTGGTCAATCTCTCTCGGGTGAGAGGATGACCAAATGGGGGGAATTGTTAAATTAAGTATGGTTTAAAAGGGCATTTTTACATAATGAACTGTGGCCTAGCTTGATGTGTAAACAAGTTGTCAGCATACATAGTAGTACGCCCTTGTAATGAAGCAACAGTGTCTCAGTCAAGTATAGTAGCCGGACCTTCAGCTGAAGGTCTGAAAGCTGCTAAAAGCTGCTGAAAGCTGCTAAATTATTCCCAAATAAGGCAAATGCAAACTGTGCCAATCAAGTAATCCCTATATGTCATTTTCTGTTTTCTGTTGTAAATATAGCTCACCACGTTGGGGGTGGGAGCATTCTGAATAATCTTTGGTCCAGAATGCTGCCTGGTTCTAGAAGCTACTGCTTGCTCAAATAAACTTTGTTGAATTTAACTTGTCTTAGGTTTTTCCTTAACAAACTCCATAAGGTATATGCTATTTTATCTCCATGAAACATAGTAATATGAAGATTACAAAGGTTAACTAGCTTGTCTAAGCTCTCATAAGTTGCAGAGCAGCACTATTGCACCTGTCCTCTTCTAAATATCTTCCTTGCAAATAATTTCAGTATTTTCAAAGTGTCCAAATGGTAAAATCACTTATATTTTCTAACAAGTAAGCAATCTATAATTTATTCAAGTTATTCTGAATAAGCAATTTAGCTTTTTTGATGATTAAGACATATTGCTATGTCTTAGACACTAAGACAGTATTAGTGCAAGACATATATTAACTAGATAGTTAACTAGCTAATCTCTATGATAGGGGATGGAGTTTCAAAGTTTCTTAAGACAGCGTCTGGTCTTAAGAAACTAGTAGCAGAGTCGGAAAGATAGGTAAAGTGATGATGAAATGTGGCAAGTTCTATAGTAAACATTTGTGTAATATGCTATGGGAAATCAAATGAGGGACTGAGACTATCTCTATCAGGAAATAACAGTATGTTTCAGAGAAGGAATTTTGAAAAGTGAGTAGCAGTTGATAAGGTAGAAAAAGAGAGAAAGACATGCTAGACAGTGGGAGCAACACACAAGTATAAAAGTGCATGACACGAAAATGGCATGAATGGTGAAGAGACTATTTCAATGAAGCAGCTGTATATGGTATGCGGTAAAGAGCAGTGGGGAATGAAGCAAACAAGGTTAACTGATCAGGTCATGAAGGACTTTGTTTGCAATGACTAATTTATCCTTATAGTGAAAATATTTGGAGCCATAGAAGACGTTCAAGCAAGAGATGAACAAAATTGTATTTACATTTTACTTTTAGATTCTAGTCTACAAATTTTACATTTACATTCTATTCTGTAAACAAATAACTCTATTTACACTACATTTAGATTATTCTTGTGCCAATGTAAATGATGGGATGAGAACAGAGAATCCTGGAGGTAAGAAGACTAAATATATGAGCGCTCCACTAAACCATGTGAGAGATTATAAGTATCTGAGCTAATACAAAGATAGAAAAAATGATGGAAAATGTATTAAGAAGTAGAAATAAATTTAATTAAGACATAGGAAGGAGCGCTCCCAAGGAAACTTGGGAGTATGTCCCAGGCTGCAGTCCATTAAAAAAAAAAAAAAGAAAAGGACATAGGTATTGGGTAGTCCATGGATGGTAAAGAAGAGGAGGAACCATCAATGACCCCACAGCAGTTTCTCTTGGAAGTGACTAAATATGAGGTTCATATATAAATGAAAACATAACTTGCATTATAACTTAGTTTTGTTCAACTGCTCAGAGTCCAATTACCTTTCGTTATCTTCATGGGAATTGATTGCACGGTTAACCTCGGCTGGCTTAAAAATTCTTCCCACCAGTACAATAATTATGTGAGAAGCTTTGCATAAATTAACATTAATCTAATTCAACTAAAATTTGTTATTTGATTACACCTTATCTAATTTCTAAAAGGATTTGAAATAACTAGCACTGAAAGGCAGAGAAATATTGTTTTATTTTATAAAAAGACTTTGAAAACCACCATGGAAAACAGGGAATGTGTTTGTTTTGTTCATCACTATCACTTGTTTACTATTATAGTGCTTGGCCCATAGTGAATATTTGTTAAATAAATAAATAAATTGAAAGCAAGTAAAAGACCCACACTAAGTAGCTACAATATAAGTAAAAGGAGTGTTACGCAAGAACTTTGAGTACATTAAGTTTTTTAAATTTGAAACATATTTTCCAAGAATTCTCAATGTAGTCAATGCTGAAGACTTACCATAGAAAACCTGTAACAGAACATTATATTTATCATAGCAAACATTTTAAAATTATGTATTTAACACAAAAAATACCTTAATTATAACAGGAGGTGCAATGTGCCACTAGCTAAATATTATCTTAAAACATACTACTATGCATTACCAGAAACTTCTCATTGTCAAACAGTTTCAGGAAGGGTCAGGACTAATTTTGCCAGTAAAATATTGTGGATCTGGGGGGATATTGTATTAAATAAATATTAAACTCTAAATCAACAGACATTTCATTTTACTGTTGAAGTTTCTTCCTAGAGTTTTCTTCTTTCACATTATTACATTTTGCCAGCCAGCTGTAGATGAAAACACAATGCAATATGTTAAACTCACAGTCAATGGATTCTGTTTCTAAGTTATGCTTCTCACAAAGTCCACACTTTTAATAAATATTATATACTATGTTGTAACTTAATTATTATCAGAATTATTTTTAAATGAGAGGCAAAGACCAAAAGAATAATAAGATGTGACTACAGAAACTATTAAAGAAGCCAAATAATTTACTAAGAAAGCCAAATTAGAAAACAAAGAGTTTTATATTAAGGATGACAGAAAGATGACTCCCCATGAAATACATTTATTTGCCAACTGCCTAAAATTCATTCATGAATTCTAATCCAAAATACATACTTCCAAGCTTTAAGACACTCTGAAGCTAGAGTGATCAATTCCTCTGGGCTTACCTTAGACTTTCCAACTTTTACCACTGAAAGTCCAGTATCCCAGGAAACCTCTCTGTTCCACATTAACAGGGATGGTTAATCACTCTATCTGAAACACATCAGAAAAAATAAGAAAACTATGATTTTATACCACGTAACTTCATTCACATGTTTTATTAAGCTCTGACCTAACCAAACTATTCATTTCAATGTAAAATAAGAGCAATTAACCTGAATCCAATTATTAAAGTAAAAAAGGAACTACGTCCTTCAGTTTCATCATATGTTTTCAAGTAGTTTATTATCCTGAATTACAACGGAAAAGAATTAAGTAGTTCCAGTAAATTCAGAACTATACCTTTCATTGCAAAATAATTATGTTACGGCTAGATCGAATACAACAGACTTCACATGTCTATTTTTACTCTGTCTCTCACATACTGCTCTTCTGTAGTTATAAATTTCACAAGTGATAACAGTTTAAACTAAGAAATTAACTCAACAAAAAATTCATGGTTAAGATAGTTCTCTTCTTCAGGTATTGAAGAATTGGTAGCAGATAAAAATTAAATTATATGAGAAAAGCTTAACATTTGGTGGATACATTTACAATATGCATATAATAAGCAACTTCAATGTTGAAATGCTAAATTTCATGTAGAAGTAAAATATTTTTTCTTAATAGGCCATTTTATTCCGAAAAATAATATTATAAACACTATTCTCGTATTCTTTCTCAGAAACAGACATAAACATCCTGGATTTTCATGGTGCCCTAATGTTTATATCTGATTCTTCACTCGGGTTTGAGCCTGAAAACCAACTGAGGCCAATAGAATCCAAGAAGAAATCTTCTGTGCTGGGATGTGACTTCAGAGAAAGGTTTTCTTCCATGATTAGGAGTGATAAACTAGGCAAATGTTCTGCCTTGCCCTTGCCTGAATCAAATATATAGTCTGTCAGCATGAGATTCCTGGGGCTTCAGTTATAAGTATGTGAGGATGAGATCCCTCAAGGGGAAGCCTGAGAGAATAAAAGAAGACACTTAACCAACACCTGAACCATCTCTCTCTGGTATTCTTTATGTGAAAGTAATAAACCTCTAGGGTTTAATTCCATTTTAGTCTGGTATTCTAATACATGGGGCTGAAAGCATCTTAATTGATACTCCAGTTTTCCAACCACAAAAACAAAAATACTATAGCTGTCAACATGATAAAAGGCAACTTGTTGGATAAACAACTAAACTTATCACTTTGGTATTTGTCTTTACCTATTTCCCTGTTTTTATATAGTTAGGTTTTTTTCTCTGAAGTGAACTTTTATTCTGACTCAAGATGCACAGGACTATTAATTTCTCCCAAGGACTAACATCATGTCAGCTTCCACTCATAAATGAAAGAAAATCTTGTTATAAGAATTACTGCCGGGCGCGGTGGCTCACGCCTGTAATCCTAGCACTTTGGGAGGCTGAGGCAGGCAGATCACCTGAGGTCAGGAGTTCGAGGCAAGCCTGACCAACATGGAGAAACCCTGTCTCTACTAAAAATCCAAAAATTAGCCAGGTATGGTGGCAAGCGCTTGTAATCTCATCTACTAGGGAGGCTGAGGCAGGAGAACTGCTTGAACCTGGGAGGCAGAGGTCTCAGTGAGCCAAGATTGTGCCACTGCACTCCAGCCTGGGCGACAAGAAAGAAACTCCATCTCAAAAAAAATAAATAAATAAATAAATAAAAAGAATTACTAACATGTCAATACAGAGACAAAAAGTTCCCAGAAAACTTTCCCACTTGAAATGTTCATAAAGGGACTTTCCAGTTTCCAGCTCATCATGTAAAGAATGTGGAGGTCAACAGTCCTGTCCACACAACAACAACAAAAGCTGAACAAACTGAAATTCAACACCATATTATTGATTCATCAGAGAACCTAGGGCACAGGGTAAACCACTGTCCCCAAAATTGGAGAGGAAGATAAGCAGATAGAATAACAACTTATTGAAGAAGAAATGCACACACAGAAATCCCCATGTTAACCAATCCAGAGTAGAAAAATCTAAACAGTAATTAATACATTTCTGGAGGATTTGTGTGAAAAAAGTTTGAGAGTTAAAAGCTCCAAGGTGGGGGTAGTCTTGGAGATGCTTTCACATTTTTGTAAGCTTTACTGCCAAGAGATAACTAGGTTCTCACAGTGAACATCAGAGAAAAATGTCTTAGTTATTTCAGCAGGAGGAGAGGAAAAGTAGCCATTAGGAAATACTCTGAGAGCATTCAGTTTTTCACAAGGCCTGCCCTCAAGAAAGACTATTTTGTCAAAGCTGTATCCACTTGGGGTTTTACCAGAGGCTAACCCACCTGGAAGGAAAATATTCAACTCCAGCAATATCTGGAATCCCTGCATCACCTAGGTGGTGGAGGAAAGATGAGAAGCACTTACAAAGGTCATAGCTCAGGGAAACAGGCTCACTAAAAGGCTGAGGTCAAACCATAGGGCAATATAATGATTCTCCTTCCACCCACATTCTAGCAATACATCAGTAAAGACCTATGTACCACAGTTATCCAATATATCATGACTTCCTTCCAACAAAAAATTACAAAGGATAGTAAAAGACCACACAATTTGAAGAGACAGAGCAAATATAAGATCTGGATTCAGATATGACACAGATTTGAAGACTATCTGGTAGAAAATTAAAAATAACTGATTTAATAAGCCAAATATTCTAATGAAAAAAAGTCAACATGCAAGAACAGATGGATAATGTAAGCCATGATATGGAAATTTTAAGAAAGAATACAAAGAAACGCTAGAAATAAAAAACACTGTAACAAAAAAGAAGAATACCTTTGACAGGCTCATTAGTAAATTGAACATGGCCCATGAAGGAAACAGTGAACTGGAAGATAGCATCAATAGAAATTTCACAAACTGAAATGCAAAGAACAAAAATACAGAAAAAAAATAGAACAGAAATGTGAGATTACTACAAAGGGTATAACATATATGTAATGAGAATACTGGGAAAAGAAGAAAATGAGAAAGGAACAGGAGAAATACTTGAAGCAATAATGACCAAGAATCTACTAGGATTAATGTCAGACACGAACCACAGTTACAGGAATTTCAGAGCACACAGAGCAGTATAAATGTCAAAAAGTCTACACCTGGGAAAATTATATAAAGAAAATCAAAGACGGAAAGAATCTTGAAACAGGTCATAAGGGACAAAAATACCGTAACTAGAAAGCAACAAGGATAAGAATTATACTGGACTTCTTTTTTTAAATTGCAGCCTGTGCCGTCAGAACCAGCTGCTGCAGCCACAGAGGTAGCCAGAATCAGAGGGAAGGTGGGCTGGGCTGTGCAGGGCTGTGCAGGGCTGTGCAGGGTGGGGCAGGCTTCTGGCTGTCCACCATGCACTGCTTTGGAGAAGGCTGCAAGCTTCCCAGCCCAGAAGGACTTCCTAGCTAGCTTTAAAGTCAGTGCCTCCAGAGCCAGCACGGTGGCCGTAGACAACAAGATAGAGCAAGCCACGGATCCCTGGATGTGATGAAGAATCATCTGATGCATGCTGTGAGAGAAGAGGTGGAGATTCTGAAGGAGCAGATACTAGAGCTGATGGAGATGAACTCCTAGCTGGAGTGCAACAACACCCTCTTGAAAACCCTGGCGAGCCCAGAGCAGCTGGAGAAGTTCCAGTCTGGTCTGAGCCCTAAAGAGGAAGCTCCAGAATCCCAAGTGCCTGAGGCCCTTGGTGGTTCTGCAGTGTAAGTGGTTACACCAGCTATGCAAGGTGTCAACTTCTCATGAGATGATGCTTGGGGAGACAAAAACAAACTGGAAAGAACTAGGTAAAATAAGTTTGGTGGCTTTGCTCACTCTGAGGACAGAACCACCAGCTTGGCCAACTTGGTGAAACCCCATCTCTACTAAAAAACTACAAAAATTAGCTGGGCGTGGTGGCACACACCTGTAATACCAGCTACTCGGGAGGCTGAGGCATGAGAATTGCTTGAACCTGGTAGGTGGAGGCTGCAGTGAGCCGAGATTGTGCCATTGCACTCCAGCCTGGGCGACAGAGCAAGACTCTGTCAAAAAAAAAAAAAAAGAAAAGAAAAAAGGACATGGCCACCTGGGTCCACTCTAGTGACAGATCCCCAGCAAAGAGTAGATCTCTGGAGGCTGATTTGCATGGGGTCTAGTAACTCAAAGCCAATGAGCCTCTAATGCTACTGAACCCTGGGGCCTCCCAGGGACTGGGCAACTTAGTTGCAACTGGCAAAGAGGAAGGGTAGTTTGAGATGTGATACCAGTTTTCTCCAGAAAGTATAAGGGGCCTGTTTCTTATTCCATGGACATCTTCAGCAATTTCACCTGACAATAACTGTTCCTAGGAATAAGTCACTTGTGTTTTAAGCAGAGGCAGCCTCCCTTTTCTCCTCTGCTTTGTGAAAGCAGAGGACACAGATGGGACAGATTGAGCCAAGTCAGCCTTCTGTTGGTTAATATGGTATAAAGCATGGTTTTGTACACAGTGCAGTGTGAGATTACAGCTTTAGGATAACTGCTTACAAAGTTCTGCTTGGTTAGTATTGGCATAGTTTTTCTTAAAGTCACAAATGCATGCACACACACACACACACAAACACACACACACACCCATAGGGCTAGATCTGTATCTTAGTGTAGTGATATATACATACACTCATCCACCTACACGTTGAAGGGCCTAAACAGCTTTGGGAGTATTGACTGGTACCTTATCTCTTAAGGCTCAGTCTTTTGACTGTGTTCATTTACCATATTGATGCAGTTTCTCCTTTAGGTTAAGTAAGACTCATAAGTAAAGGCAGGGAGGGTGCCAGCCTCTGAATGCAGCCACAGATGCCTTACTGCTGCAATCCTTTCCCCAGCTGTCCACTGGAGACACATGAAGTCATTTGAATGCCATACCCACCATTCACTGATGCTGACTTCATAGAATGGGGTTAACGGACCAGTTTGCATTTCACAGTGTCATTTAAATTTTTTTTAATTATTTAAAAATAAATAAATAATTATGTGGAAAACTTACAAATGAAAAGAAGGAGGGTGTCCTACTGTGGATGAGGGATGGACAAGGGAATGGCTTTAATCAAATGGAGCCTGGGAGGTGTACACAGGGAGCTTGTCTGTAGGAGAGTGATATGCTTTGATTCTGTGTCCCTACCCAAATCTCACCTTGAATTGTAATAATCCCCGTGTCAAGGGCGGGACCAGGTGAAGATAATTGACTCATGGGGATGGTTTTCCCTATGCTGTTCTGGTGATAGTGAGTGAGTTCTCACGAGATCTGATGGTTTTATAAAGTGCTTCCCCCTCCACTTGGCACTCATTCTCTCTCTTGCTGCCCTGTGAAGAGATGACTTCCACCATGACTGTAAGTTTCTTGGGGCATTTTCTAAGCCATGTGGAACTGTGAGCCAGTTAAAACCTCTTTTCTCCATAAATGATGAAGTCTCCGGTATTTCTTCATAGCAGCATGAGAAAGGACCAATACAGGGAGTGTGTGATAGTTTCTGACACATTATCCTGATGTATGTTTCCAGGATTTGGGTTTTGATTTTTCAAATGTAGCTTGAAATTTCAATAAACTTTCCTCTTTTTTTTCTAAAAAAAAAGCTGCTAACAACAAGAAGGTACAATAAAATATTTAAAGTCTTGAAAACACCCCACCAGCTTGAATTATCCATCTAGCCAAATTAATGTTCAAAAGTGAAGGACAAATAAAGACTCTTCCAGACAAACAAAAATTGATGCAATTGCTGCCAGTAAGACTACCTGGCAAGAAAGGTTAAAAATATTTATCTAAAGATAAGGAAAATCACATAGGTCAGAAACTTGGACCTAAATAAAGAAAATGAGAACATTAGTAAATGAATAAATGAAGGTAAAATAAAACATATTTCTTATTTTTAATGATCTAACAAATAAGTTTGTTCAAAATAATAATAGCAACAATGTATACAATTATTATAGCTATAGATAAGTTAAATGAATGACAGTTATTATAGAGGAATGGGAAGGAGAAATTAGCAATACTTCATTAGAGGGTATTTGTACTGCTTCCAAAGTGGCATAGCGTTATTTGAAACTAGAGTTGCATTTATTGTAAATATGTGTTATATTATTTCTTCCGCTTACTTTGGATTCAATTTTCTCTTTTTCTAGTTTCATGAGGTGGAAGCTTAGATTACTCATTTCAGATCTTTCTTCTTTTTAATATATAAATTCATATTAATTCACTGCTATAGATTTCCCTGTAAGCACTAGTTTTGTGGCATCACATGATTTTTGATAAGTTTTATTTTCATTTTCATTTAGTTCAAAGTATTTTTAAATTTCTCTTGAGACTTTTTCGTAGCCATGTGTCTTACTTATTAGTGTGTTGCTTAATTTTTATGTATTTTGTGGTTTTCCAGCTATCTTTCTGTTGTTGGTTTCTAATTATTTCCATTGTGCTCTGAGAGCACACATTTATAATTTATATTCTTTTAAATTTGGTTTAGTGTGTTGTGTGGCCTAGAATAAGGTCTATCTTGTTGAATTCGTGTAAGCTTGAGGATAATGTGTTTTCTCCTGTTGCTGGGTAAAATATCCTATAGGTGTCTATTAGATCCAATTGATTGATAATGTTGTTAAGTTCAACTGTATCTTTCCTGATAATCTTCTGGCTGGATCTGTTCATTTCTGACAGAGGGGTGTTGAAGTATTCCAATATAATAGTAGATTAGTATTGTTCTCTTTGCATTTCTATTAGTTTTGCCACATCTATATTGACACGGTTTTTAGACACATTCATTAAATATTATTATGTCTCTTTGAATAATTGACTTTTTTATCACTAGGTAACAGTCCTCTTTATCCTTGACAATTTTTCTTGCTCTGAAGTCTACTCTCTCTGAAATTGATATAGCCACTCACTTTCTTTATCCCTTTACTTTTAATCTAGATGTGTCTTTATATTGAAAATAGTTTTTTTTTTTTAAGACAACACACAGTTGGGTCTTTTATAATCCACTCTGACAGTCTCTGTCTTTTAATTGCTGTATTTAGATCATTGATGTTTAAGGTGATTACTGATATAATTTGGTTAATATCTGCAACATTTTTTACTGTTTTCTATTCATTGTCCTTCTTTCTTTTGATTTTTATCTTCCATTTTTATTCCGCCTCCTCAATCTTAATTGATGAGTTGCAAGATCTGGATAATGAGTTGCAAGATCTGATTGTTGAAAAGTGTGGCACCCTGCCCTCATCTTGTACCTGTTATCACCATGAGAAGTGTCTGCTCCTATTTCACCTTCCACCTTGAATAAAAGCTGCCTGAGGTCTCCCTAAAAACTGAGCAGATGCTAGCACCATGCTTCCTGTAAGCATGTCATAAACTAAAATTCACTTATTTCTTATGTTTTTTTAATTATATTCCCCCCTCTAGAATGTAAAAACTACTACGTATGGCAGAAACCATGTCTATCTTGTTCAACATTCTATCCCTTAGGCCAAGCATAGTGCCTGACACATAGGGGTCCCTTAATAAATATACTTTATATAAGTAAGTGGACTGCAAATAGATCTTAAAATGATCACATATATCTTAAAATGCACCTTAATATCATCATATATTGAGTGTCATGAAAATGAAATAAGATCTATAAATAATTATGTGAAGAAAAATACATGTCGTGTTGGTGAGGGGGGAAGAGTTGAAGCAAACGTGAAATACCTAGCAGTCAAACTGAAACAGAGAGCTCACTTAAGTTGATGATAATGTATCCAAACATTTTAAAGGTTATTTCAGTGTTATTGGAGCCACAGGTACGTCAACAAATTAACCAAAACAAATGTCCCCACATTATTAATGAATGATTTTTTTGTCTTAATAGTAAATCAGTTTCAAGGCTATTTCAGCAACCAAAGTCTAGAATTAAGACTTTAACAACCATGAAAAGAAATAAGGATAAAAAATTTGAGCCACAATCAGGACACTTCAATCAACAGTAACTATACCAGGACCTCTTATATCCTTTGATTTTTTTTGAGGCAGGTTTGTCTCTTCTATTTAAATTTAAATCTAATTTTAATATTAATTCCTACCTATTTATCTTTGTTTTTGTTGCATTTGCTTTTGAGTTCTTGGTCATGAAGTCTTTGCCTAAGCCAATGTCTAGAATGGTTTCTGCACAGCAAAAGGACCAGTCAGCAGAGTAAACAGACAACCCACAGAGTGGGAGAAAATCTTCACAATCTATACATCCAACAAAGGACTAATATCCACAATCTACAAGGAACTCAAATCAGCAAGAAAAAAAAAAAACAAACCATCCCATCAAAAAGTCCCTAAAGATATAAACAGACAATTCTCAAAAGAAGATATACAAATGGCCAACAAACGTACGAAAACATGCTCAGTATCACTAATGACCAGGGAAATGCAAATCAAAACCACAATGTGACACCACCTTACTCCTGCAAGAATGGCCATAATGAAAAAATCAAAAAATAATAGACATTGGCATGGACGCAGTGAAATGAGAACACTTCTACATTGCTGGTGGGAATGTAAACTAGTACAACCACCATGGAAAACAGTGTGGAGATTCCTTAAAGAATTAAAAGTAGAACTACCATTTGATCCACCAATCCCACTACTGGGTATCTACCCAGAGGAAAAGAAGTCATTATACGAAAAAGATACTTGCACATGCATGTTTATAGCAGCACAATTTACAATTACAAAAATATGGAACCAGCCCAAATGCCCATCAATCAACAAGTGGATAAAGATATTGTGCCACACACACATATGTATATATCTATATGATGGAATACTACTCAGCCATAAAAAGAAATGAATTAATGACATTTGCAGCAACCTGGATAGAACTGGAGACTATTATTCTAGGTGAAGTAACTCAGGAATGGAAAAGTAAACATCGCATGTTCTCACTCAGAAGTGGGAGCTAAGCTATCAGGATGCAAAGGCATAAGAATGATACAACGGACTTTGGGGACTCCGGGGAAAGGGTGGGAGGCGGGTGAGAGCTAAAAGGCTACAAATTGTGTTCAGTGCATACTTCCGGGGTGATGGCTGCAGCAAAATCTCACAAATCACCACTAAAGAACTTACTCATGGAACCAAATACCACCTGTTCCCGAAAAACCTATGGAAACAAAAAGTTTTAAAAAATAAAATAACCCTCAAAGAAATTATTTCTTCAATACTGTAATAATTCATATAAGATGCTATTAAAAGAACACCTTTCCAGTAGTGACGTTTCCACCAGTGAACTTACGCCAACTCTGTCTTCGATTCTCCAAAACCAATGAACTCTATTTCCAAGCAGCTTATGTGAACTTATTTTTTTGCCAATATCAGCTTCCCTTTACTCTGCCTCTTCAAATGCATGCATGACTTGGCATAGCTGTGCATCTCAGGTTATAAACTTCATTTCTAATTCCCAAAGAAATTCAACATTTTTGGAGAAATATATATATATCTATATTATATGTATATATAAATTTTTAAACTGTATTTCTAATGGAAATGTGCTAGAGCTTAAGTATTGCTCCAAGTCAACAAATACTTATTTTGATTATAATATAAACCAAAGGTAAGTATTACCGATGATTCTTTATTGAGAAAAATCAAAGTAATTAGAATGTGTGTTTCTTCTCGGATCAGATGCATTAGTTTACTTTAAGCCTTGGAGTTTCTTTGAGTTTTCACATTGTCAGATTCTAGTATTGTCATTTACACTCTCTGATATTGCACAGGAATTAGGTTTAAAGGACAAAGTAAGGAAGTAAATGTATAATATTAATAAAATAATAGTAGAAATATTCATTACATTTTATAAGGGTAAAATATTTTTATGCCACCTCACCCCCAAAATGAAATATATGGAAAGGAAATTTTATAATAAAAAAACTTTTTAAGAGCATATTTTAGACAGTGGCAAAGAAGAAGTACTAAGGAATTAAAAGACCAAATGGAAAATGAAGATATTTTACCCTTTAAATATAATGTGCAATTGATATAACTGCTGTTATATGTAAAAAAGCAGAAAAATAGTGATCACTCTCAGAAGAAAATGGGAACGCAGTTCCTGTTTTCTATTATGTGGATTAATGTGGATGACTGAGAACTATAAAAGGGGAGTCCCATCAGCTTTCACAGGAATTGCCTTATTACTTAGTATGTTGATAAACACAAGGCAGAGATTTGGGGACACAGGATGCTTTAAGAGAAAGAAACTCTACGATTTTTCCATTGAAATTGATTAAATAATAATGTATTGTTTTACATACGCAGTTTTATGTAAGGAAAGGCAGAGGCTTTTCCTCAATCATCTGCTTGTTACAATTTTAACTTTTCCTCATTTGCGGAGAAGTGTTCTCCATGTTTTATATTTTTGAACAGACATTCCACAAATGAGGACAAAATGTTAATATATGATGGTCAGTATTTGGAAGATGGTTTGGTTTGGTCTGACGTTCTAAACCAGAAGTCTTCAATTAGCTTCCTGCCACATATTCCTTTCTTAATCCTTACAAGCTAACGTGTAACCCTCTCCTGCAATCTGCAATTCTCACGCTCTCTACCCTGCCCTGCACACACCTAATTGAGTCCATATATATCCAAGTTTTACTGGTAAATGGACTGACCATGAATATATACACTAGTCTGCTTTGAAAACATGGGCTAAGTTTATGTGACTACTCACTCAGAGATAATGTTATAAAAATGATTCAGGAGCTTTTATGGTTGAATATGCATTTTTATGGTTGGAATGCCATTGGCTGTACATGTATTTTCTCTCTTTCTTTTTCTTTTCTTTTTTTTTTTTTTGAGACAGGGTCTTGCTCTGTTGCCTAGGCTGGAGTGTAGTGGCATGAACATGGCTTGCTGCAGCCTCTGCCTCCTGGGCTCAAGCGATACTCTCACTTCACTGAGTAGCTGCTAACACAGGTGCCTGCCATCACACCCAGCTAATTGTTTAATTAGCTGGGGTCTTTCCATGTTCAACAGGCTGCTGCTGTTGAACTCCTGGGCTCAAGCAATTCTTCTGCCTCGGCCTCCCAAAGTGCTGGGATTACAGGAGTGAGCCACCATGCCTTATGTTTTCTCAAAGGTTATATAACAGTACTCAACTATAAAATCACCTGTTCCTGTTCGTTTTATTAGTAGCATATGTGTAATCATTCTGTCATTTTTTTCTAAGGCTATTGTTCTTTTTTCCTTTCAATGAAATTTGGTAATTTCTATTTTGCTAGAAATTCCAAGTTCCTCCAATTTTTCATGTTTTTGGCAAAATAGATAAATTGCTACAGCATATTTGAAACAAGTCTGACAGTATATAATAACATTTCATAATATACATACCACTTAATTTTGCAATCCCCACTTCTGAGAATCTAGTTAATAGAATCAATAATATATAAAATTACGCAATGTGGATGTTTATTATAGCATTGTTTGTTATAATACTAAAATAACTAAAAGCAGCTTTAATGTCCAACAATAGAGAAACGGTTTAATATATTTTAAATGTCATCTAAAAGCACAGGTTAATAGGTATAGAGTTTCAGTTTAACAAGATAAAAAGAGTTCTGGAGATAGATAATGGTGATGGTTACACAACAATATGAATGTTCCTAATACCGCTTAAACACTTAAAAATCATCAAGATGGTAAATTTTGTTACATGTATTTTACAACAATTTTAAAATTTAAAATAAAGCATAATGTTCACATCTTTTAAAATTATTATTCTTTTATTTATTCTTCTAGGTCAAGTGAAAGGACTACAAATCAAGATTTCTAATCAGAGAATGTGCTAAATATATATTTTCCCTATATGAGACGTGTTCAGTTAACAAGCACTAGCAAAGAAACAGAAATTTGTCTGAGACTATCTGCTAAGCAGGCAACGATCGCCTACCTTGTTTCAATGTATCATAACAGAAAATAGCTTAATTATATATAAATCTCTAAATACACTGGATTCTGAATACATAGTAACTGCTTAAATTCACATGTACTATTCTAAGTATTTATTTTAAACTAATAATATCTAATTAAAAGGGCACTCTAAGATGTGTTAATCAATCTGATTTTAGTCATCATTATACAATGCATACATATAGCAAATCATCACATTGTACATCTTGAATATATACGATCTTTGTCCATTAAATATTTTAAAATAAAAAATCACCCTGAGGAGATGCCAAACTAACTCAAAATATATTTAAAGTTGTTATATTATTTTTATTATATGTTTTTTAATACTCATATTTCTTCACAGTTGAATGATTTTTTTAAAAAATTGTACTAAGAACACTTAACATGCGATCAACCCTTCTAACAAACTTTTTAAGAGCACAATACAGTATTTTTAAATATAGGCACAATGTTGTACAGCAGCTCTCTAGAACTTGTTCATCTTGTGTAACCAAAACTTTATGTCCACTGAATTCCCCAGTTCCCCTCCAGCAGTCGCTCCCAACCACCACTCTACTCTCTGTTTCCATGAGTCTAACTATTCTAAATATGTCATTGACATGGAATCATGCACTATTTGCCCTTCCGTGATTGGCTTATTTCACTTCACATAATGTTCTTGAGCTCCATCCCATCCCTGTTGCCACATGCTGCAGGATTTCTTTTTTTTTAGGCTGAATAATATTCCATTGTATGTTTATACCACATTTTCTTTATGCATTCAACCATCAATGGACATTTATGTCATTTCCAAGACTTAGCTATGGTAAATAATGCTGTAATTAACACGGGAGTGCAAATATCTCTGAGATTCTGATTTCAATTACTTTGGATATATACCTAAATATATGTGACTACTATCCAGTAGAACTTGGATACATATTAACTCAATTAGTTGTGTGTGGGGAGGGGTAGAGAGCATGAATGTTGGCAGATTGCAGGAGTAAGGTTACATGTTACCTTGTAAGGATTTAGCAATCCTAGTAGGATTGCTGCTTCATATGGAATTTCTACTTTTAAGTTTTTGAAGAACCTCCATACTGTTTACCATAGCAGTTGTACCACTTTACATTCCCACCAAAGGTAATGGATTCCAATTCTTCCACATACTGGCCAACATTTGTTATGTTTTGATTTTTTATAATAGCCATCTCTACAGATGTGAGACGACATCTCATTAAGGGTTTGATTTGCATTCCAATGATGATTATGATGTTGAGCATCTTTTCATTTACCCATTAGCCATTTATATTCCTTCTTTTGAGAGATGACTATTCAAGTTGTTTCTTTGTTTGTTTTTGCCATTAAGTTGTAAAAGTTCCTTTTATTTGGGGACGATAGCCCCTTATCAAATACTTGTTTTACAAAAATTTTCTCCCATTCTGTAAGCTACCTTTACACTGTTGATTGTTTATTTTGCTGTGCAGAAGCCTTTTAATTTGATGTACTCTTTTTCTATATTCTTTTTTTTTTTTTTTTGCTTGTGTTTTGGTGTCATATACAAGAAGTCATTGGTAAGACTAATGTCAAGAAGCTCTTACCCTGTTTTCTTCTAAAATTTTATAGTTTCGGATCAGGTTGAAAGTCTGTATTTTGAGTTGATTTTTGTGTACAGTGTAAGATAAGGATCCAATTTTACGTATATCCAAGTTTTTAACACTATTTGTGAAAGAGACAATCCTTTCTTTATTGTGTTTTCTTGGCACCTTTGTCAAAGACCACTTAACTGTACATGTGTGGGTTTATTTCTGGGCTCTTTATTCTGCCTCATTGGCCTATATGTCTGTTTTTTATGACAGTGCTACAGTGTTGTAATTACTGTAGCTTTGTAACATGTTTTGAAATCAGGAAGAATGGTGTCTCCAGCTTTTTTCTTCGTTCTCAGATTGCTTTGGTTATTCAGGGTTTTTTTGTGACTACAAATGAATTTTAGGTTGTTTTTTCTATTTCTGTAAAAAAAAAATGCCATTGGGCTTTTGATAGGGATTATATTGATCAGTTTGGATAGTATGGAGATTTAAAAAATATTAGACTTTAGGGTTTTCTACAGATAAGATTATGCCATCTGCAAACAAAGATTAATTTACTTTTTTCTTTCTGATTTTGATGCTTTTATTTCCTTCTCTGGCCTAATTGCTCTGCCTAAGGTTTCCAGTACTATGTTGAATGGAAGTGGTAAGTGTAGAGAAGTGATTATTTTGAAAACGTGTATTATAACAAATCAATTCTAACTATAATCTTAGAGAAAATATGTACAAATAAATTTGAATATGGACAACATTTAGTTGGTTACAGGAACAGATGAAAATATTGATTTGAATCAATGATGAGATTGTGGAAATTGGATTTATGTTGTTATTTTACTATTTTCAATAAGGCAGTTTTAAAAATGAGAAAAGTCCAAAACAGACTAGAATTCTAACCCATTGTTAATTACGCATAAAAGAAAATATGTTTATAAAAATATATTCAAAATGCAATAAACTAGGCAGATGTTCACAAGTGTTTCCACATGTTGGTCACTCTGGTCACACTGTAAAACCCATTTATTAGTCTATAATATCATTGTTCATATTTGCCTTTTCTCAAAATCTCCATGTCTTAGTTAACCAAGAACACTAGAAAGCAAGCAAAAAAAAAAAATAGTAAAGAAAATTACTAAGTTTTTGAGTAAATAATGAGGTTTAATGTCAACTCTACAGTCTAATAGACACTATAAAATGTATAAAGTGAATGAATACGTTAATTTAGCCTCTTATTCTGAGGACTTATTAGGAAAACACCCACTAAGGTAATGTCCTTCTCTTGCAATCTTTTTTTCCCAGGATCTTTTCCAGCCTAAGAGTAGTGATAGATGTTTTGTTTGGATTTTTCTGGAGGGGTAGGAATTGTGGAAGGAGCCTCTTGAAGTGTTGTTTGCGCATGCTAGATATCAGTGAATTTCTGAAAACACGGTCAAAATTTCTCTCCAAAAGGGTTTCTCAAATACTCTGAAGAGAGATATTGTTGAGAAACTGCTGAGTTGAGTCCAGTCTGATGGCACTGTTTCCTTCAAGGGTTTCAAGTTGACAACTCATGATGAAATTCATAATTGTGTAAAGTGCATATATCTTAACATGTTTATTTCATCTGTAAATATTAATTACATATTTTGTATTGATTCTGTGGCTTTTATCTCTTTAACTGAGATTTTGTAACTGTAATTCTCGCGGCAGCTCAACAGTTTCAACGTTTTGTGGCACTAAACACCATCAAAAGCCATTATATGGCTCTCCAATCATTAAAACCTTAGTATTATGGGATCAGAGAAAAGATCTCTTTGCCTACCACCTGAGGAAAATATTACCATTATGTTGGAGATTAATGAAGTAAGGCTAAAGGCCAAAGGCAACATGGTCCTGTGTTCTACTTGACCCTGTGATCCTTTAGCACTGGATTGGGAGGCCAGGACATTTGTAAACTTTGACTTTCCAATGCACTCAGGAAAGTATGCAACCTATCCTTTTCCCTAAGCTTAAATGATTTTGATAATTAGTTTTTTAAAACTTATTATTTTTGCCCAGGTCGTCATCTTCTTATGTGATTTTTAGATGTTCGGCTTAAATATAGTGTTTTAAATAATAAATAACATTTAAAATATAAGAAACATCTAAAAGCCATCTTAGATTTTTCTTTCTCTCCTTCTCTCTCTCTCTCTCATTCTCTCCCCTTCTCTCTCTCTCTCTCTCTCTCTCTCTCTCTCCCCCCTTCTCTCTCTCTCTTTTTTTTTAAATCTTGGTACAGAGGAAGCGGGAAGTTACTTAGCACGGTTCCGGGTTTCTCGCGCCCCGCCTGTCCCCCCTCCCTATCACTGCTACTGGCTCTTGGTCCCTCCGTTGGACTGTCCTGCGGAGAGAAACCCCAGCCCATCGGTCTGCGCTGGGACCGCCCGCCGCGCATCTGCCCTTCTTCGCTGACTCCGCCCCGCATCTGGCCAGACCCGCCTCGCGTCAGAGCTGACCCACTCACTGCGCGTTTGCCAGTCAGTCTCTCCGGACCTGCCTCGAGCCTCAGGCTGCTGAAATCACCGCGCCTCACTCGGTCCGTACCCAGTGGGCATCTTGGGTATCTGGGCGGTCTTCGATCCCCCGCGCGTGTGTCTGTCTGTCTGTCTCTGTGTCCTATCCGCTGCCTGCAGCCTGCCTGCCGGTCTTATCGCACCAAGTGTCTGGTGTACCCTTTCGCAGACGCTGAGTGCGGAGAGGCCTTAGCGAAAGGCTAGCCAGCCCGAGACTGGCCAGGCAGCCGGCGGAGGAATACGCGCTCGGTCCCTGCCCTTGTTGATATCATTTTAAACCAACAGGAGCTCTAGGCCTATATTTATGCAGAAAGCGGGTCGGGAGGCCTCTGTCTGCAATGCTAGTTGTGGGGAACCAGCCAGCTGCTTGGTGGCTTCTCACAATTTCACGGGGACAGGAAAATTACGTTTCTGGTACTGGCTTTTGAAACTGATTTTAAATCTGAACGGGTGACAATTTTAAGTCCCCGCAGGGAGAATAGATTCGTATTTGGGGCGCCTTTTTGTCTGATGTGTTTGTTCTGAGCCTGCTGACCAGCTGTTTCTGAACTTCATTTTCTCAGCCTCGACAGTGATTCTGAGTCTGCTTTTAGCTTCCTTTTGCCTGCCTTGGCTTTTTCTGTTCGTGAACAGCTGTTTGGCCCATAGCTTAGAGAAAGCAGCCTTTTTTCTCTTCAAAGAGAACCTCCTCCCAGTGCTCAGAGAGATGGGGAGCGGGGAGCCTAATCCTGCTGGCAAGAAAAAGAAGTATCTCAAGGCCGCTCTGTACGTGGGTGACTTGGACCCAGATGTCACCGAGGACATGCTCTATAAGAAGTTCAGGCCTGCTGGCCCTCTGCGATTCACCCGAATCTGCCGTGATCCGGTGACCCGCAGCCCCCTGGGCTATGGGTATGTTAACTTCCGCTTTCCCGCGGATGCAGAGTGGGCCTTGAACACCATGAATTTTGATTTGATTAATGGAAAACCATTCCGCCTTATGTGGTCTCAGCCAGATGACCGCTTAAGAAAGTCTGGAGTGGGAAATATATTCATCAAAAACCTGGACAAATCCATAGACAATAGGGCCCTGTTTTACTTATTTTCTGCTTTTGGGAACATTCTGTCCTGCAAAGTCGTATGCGATGACAACGGCTCTAAGGGTTATGCCTATGTTCACTTTGACAGCCTGGCCGCTGCCAATAGAGCCATCTGGCACATGAATGGAGTGCGGCTCAACAACCGCCAGGTGTATGTTGGCAGATTCAAATTCCCAGAAGAGCGGGCGGCTGAGGTCAGAACCAGGGATAGAGCAACTTTCACCAATGTTTTCGTTAAAAACATTGGAGACGACATAGATGACGAAAAACTGAAGGAACTTTTCTGTGAATATGGGCCAACTGAGAGTGTTAAAGTAATAAGAGATGCCAGTGGGAAATCTAAAGGCTTTGGATTTGTGAGATATGAGACACACGAGGCTGCCCAAAAGGCTGTGCTAGACTTGCATGGAAAGTCCATCGATGGAAAAGTCCTCTATGTAGGGCGAGCACAGAAGAAAATTGAACGCCTGGCTGAGTTGAGGCGGAGATTTGAACGGCTGAGGTTAAAAGAAAAAAGTCGGCCCCCAGGGGTGCCTATCTATATTAAGAACTTGGATGAGACAATCAATGATGAAAAACTGAAGGAGGAATTTTCTTCCTTTGGGTCAATTAGTCGGGCCAAAGTGATGATGGAAGTGGGGCAAGGCAAAGGATTTGGTGTGGTCTGCTTTTCCTCTTTTGAAGAGGCTACCAAAGCAGTGGATGAGATGAATGGCCGCATAGTGGGCTCCAAGCCCCTGCATGTCACCCTGGGCCAGGCCAGGCGCAGGTGCTGAGAATAAGAATGCTCAGTTTGTTTCAGCCTTAGTTGGTGCCTCCTTAGTTTGGGCTCCTTTGTGATAAGGGGTTATTTTATGCTAATTCACAAGTTTTTTTTTGAAGTGAATTCTTTTGAAAAAAAAATGCAAAACTAGAAAACTTTATTCATTTTAGAATAGAACATAATTTCTAACTGTAAAATTGTCATTTTGTACTTTTTTTGATGTAATATCCTTAGAAATCTGTAGAATAAAGTGTATTCCTCCACTTTTTTTTCCTGAACAGTCAAGGTGAGGCAATTGATTGAGTATATTTCCCTTCTTATTTCAGTAATACTCTATTTTTTTTCATGAAAATGTCAACATGGTTCTTCTGAATCTATCACAGTGAAAAGTTCTAACTTGTTTTTGAGAAGTCAGTACAGCAGGGGAAAACATATGTGATGCAATTAACATCTGCATAATTTCACTTAAAATTATTATGCAAAAATGAATGTTTTTTCAAAAAATGTGAAATGTATTTTATTTTCTTTATTTGTATTCTTGTTTCATTTTTTAATATGTTGTGAACATGCTACAGATTTGATAGTACTTTTGACTAAATGTTGGGAGTGGTCGTATTAACTTCTTGCCCAAAGAAGTAAGCATATTGGTGTTTTCTCAATTAGTCACTGAGAAAATTAACACTTTAGGCAGTGGCTATTTAAAGTAGGAATTGCATCTTAAAAACCTTTCCTAAGAGATTTGGTATGTGAGGATACTTTCAGTACCACTCCTACCATTCATTTTTCTAAATTCCTTAGTACATATACTTGGATCATGTTAAATTAACAAGAAAGATGAATAACTGCGCTGAATTGCCTTTACCTATAAATAATTTAATATTTTACCTTCGGGTTTTATCAACTGTCAATATAAAAGGCAGTACTCCACAGAATGATGTTGAAAAACTTCTTCGAAGAACACCTTCTATTAAACTTGTTATCTCTTGTAAATTATTGTGTGTGTCCTTTTGATAATATTCACAGGTGTTTCAAAGGTAAGGAATAGGTTGTCTCTTGGATTAAGTCATATGCCTCCAGCCATTATATGAGAACTGTGAAACCAATATGGTTTTCTTTATGTCTTGGCTGCTTGAAAATTAAAAAAAAAAAAGGTTTGTTCAATATTGCCGTTACATTTATTAGCCTGTAATTTCTAAATTGGAGATTCTCTACATTTCACTTGCAGTTTCCTGTTCTCCTCATTGCCTGCCTTCCATTCATATTACACTTATTTTTCTATTTTTTGTATTACCTTTTTAAAAATATATACCAGTTCAAGTCCTTTTAGGAAGAAGAAAATACCTAATTTATGTAAAATTTAAATAATTACTTTTTTATAATATGATTCACTTATGCCACAGATTCAACATTAGAATATGTTTTATCTCTACTGTCAGTTTTATTACCTTATATACAAATCTTCATTTTCATACATAGTACAATGTAAATATATAACTTTGTTAACACTTTTGTTAGCTCTTTGACCATAAAATAATGACAATAAGCTGTTTCTATGTATTTGTTTATCTACAAATTACAGGTTTATCCATTTGCAAATATTTTCAAAATGGAAATCACTGTTTATATTGATTATAAACATAAGACATGCTCATTGTAAAAAATGTACACAAGGCAGAAGGAAGTAAAATTTCCACAGTTCAGAAATACCACAATTAATATTTTCAATGTGTAAATATCTTTTCATAATTTTTCCTACGTATACACAAACATTTTGACCAAAAATCCACACTATATGTACTGTTCTGTATTTTTAATTTTAAACTGAACAATAATCATCTTTTCCTGACAATAAATATCAATCTCTATCATCATCTTAGTGACTGCATAGTATTCTATTCCCGTGTTGACATATTATAATTTATCTAAACAGTTTGCTATTGAATCTAATTTATATGATTTTTAACATTTTTACATGCGTAAACAATGCCGTGATGAACATCACTTGCTTAAAACCGTTATTAATTACTGACTGCAAAAAAATTTCTATAATATGTAAAAGCTTAAATCTGATAAAAAATATGTGCACATCATATTGATATATGTATCAAAATTTTGGAATACTTTCAAGATATATTCTGCATTTAGATTGACAAATGGAAAACTAAAAACGAATATTATTTTTCATTTTTCTGAGCCAACTTGCTTTACATTATTGTGATTATTAACATATATGAAAACTATGAAACTACAAATAAAATTTAAAATGTTTATATTGGTAATTATTTATCATATATACTCTCCATTTGTTTTTACCCATTACCAGTTTTCAGGTAAATTTATAAACCTGAAGTATCAGTGTTAGCCTGCATTCTTTACAAATGCTTTGATTCAATATAGACAGGTATCTATAATGTAAAAATTATCAAATAAAAGCATTTAATATATTTTTGGAACAATGTATTTAAACTATTACTATTTTTCAAAAGCTAGCCAGTATAAAGAAAAGAAGAAATTAAAATATGCCTAAGAACAGATAAAATATATATGTTTAGGGCTTTGATAAACTGTTGTAAAAAACACCTTAAATTCCGTTGGTGAAAATCAAAGCAAAAACATGAAGGAAAGATATTCTCTATTTGAATGTAAACACCAGAGTAGTTTTTCAATCCTGTACTTTTGCTCATCATTTCTTTTAGCACGAGATAATTAGTACGAATTAAACAGTTAGGTTAAGAATGCACCATTTTGTACAAATTTTGTTTTGTTCTATTTAGCTTTTCAAAACAATCACTTGTACAAACTTTAAATGTACCCAAGGAGAAGAAAACTAAAAATATTGTTTTGTAATTGCAAGCCATCATAGTCAAGGTTATTTTGAGGAGGCTTTTTTGTACAAGAAGTTGGCACATGCTGCTGCCTATCTAGTAATAATGGTTAAGGAGAAAAATAAAATGCTACACATGTAAGTCATATTTTTAGCCCAGTGGAAAAAAGTTACTATATTTTTTTAAGGGGAGACAGGAATGGAGTGAATATCCTCTTCCCTGTAAATAAGTGGCCTAATTTAAGGGAATAATTAGACATGTATCAATATATGAATGCAGATAGATAAAACAAGTTTTTTCAGCACTTATGACAATACCTGGAATATAGTAGGCATTCCACAAGTATTTGTGGAATGAATGAATTCATAATCTGAATTATATCCCTCCATTTGTTTGCTTTTCAATTCCCTCAATGTTTGACAAAAGAAATGAGTTATTACAGAATAAGCCATTTGTATTAAGGCCCATTCTATGAAGCAGTAATTGAGAAATGATTGGTTACACAGACTGGTGCTTATACATAGTGCTGTTGGTTACATAGACTAGTGCTTACAGTGTAAAGGTTTTCTCAATGTTTTCCCTCTTCTCATGCTCTTTTTTTCATTATTTTTGTGTTTAATACTTGATTGATGAGCCTGTCTTCAACAGACAAAGCTTCTAATAATTGGTGTAACTTAAATCAAACAGTCTATTTGTAGAGCAACACTTTTTATAAGTTAATGGGGTGCTCCATCGAGACCAATGCTATTTCACAAAGTCTTACTCCTGAATCGAACCGTATGACCACAGTAATCCCTGAGATACAAGAGCATGCACATTTGAAGGGAATTAATTCGTACACATTTTAGGTTTTTATTTACTGCCCATGAAATGTAACTTAACAAATGATTCCTTGAAGCCTCATGAGAGTTCATGTATCCCTCTTGGTTCCAGGGAATCATAGTAAGTATTTAAAAATCATCTAGCTACCATTGGAAATATGAGAAAATAAAGCCTTGACGAATTCAAAGTACCAATACTGAAGATATCATTCTTATAAAACTTTAAAAAACTAACTCCAAATACTTTCACCCTCAAAAGTCGCAGGCAACTTCAAAATAGCTCCCATTTGGTAGAAAAAAAGATCAGTCTACTCACTAAATTTCTCATCAAACTTTGGGAACTTCACAGTTTATTTATTTAAAAAAATATTTAGTGCTTAAGAGAGATAAGGAGTGCTGATAAGGGATGAGTGCTGATATTGTATGGCATGACTGGCTCTGTTTTAGAGTAAGTGAAACACAAGTGTTGGAATCTTTTGTATGAAAAAATAAGTCTTCTATAATGTAAACTAAATAATTTTACATCCTTTTGTGATTAAATTGAAACTTCTAAAAGGATAAATTATGCTTTTGAAAAATCAAGGACTTTACAAAACAGTATTTTAAAAAGTAATTTAAGCGAATTAACACAGAATGACAGCCAACTTTTTTTTAAGTAACCTCTCTTTGAGGATATTGAGCAGACTAAATCCCTGAATAAAACAAATACAGTGAGGAATTTACAAATATTTCTTTTTCAGTGTCTCAGGAAGCCCAGAATATATCAGTAAATGGTCTTGTTGCACAAAAATCTATCATATATTAATATTTATAAATAAAGAAATAAGAACCTACTTTAGTCTTTTTGTCTCAGAGGACAGTTTTATTACATTAAAGATGATTACAAAGCAACGCAAGTCAGCATGAATAATTTGTTTCCTTGTTTATTGCTGAATTTAAAAAAAATAGGGGAGTGGCAAATTAAGTCAAAATAATTAAAAGAAAGGATGTACAGAAATAAATGTAATTTAAATGTTAGAAATATAAATTAATACTATAAAGGCATTAAAATTCTGCCTATTTTGATACTTAATTGAAGATAAAACATCACAAACCGTTTGTATTCAATTTGTATGGTTATTTTTATCATTGATATGACTACTACAGTGACACTAAGCCTCAGGAGTATTTCATTTGTAAGTGAAATTGCTTAAATAATTATTGGTGCTAATCTACTTCCTTCTACTCTCTTACCTCCCTCACTGAATCTCAATCCTATCCTTGCTGATTATGCAAAAGTACATGAGATATTTCTGGTTTATGTAGTCTGTCTAAACATCACCTCAGAAATTTATCTGTAACTATTAGATGTGCATGTGTTTGATATTGTACAATTTGGTGAGATAAAGCTTCAGGACTTTCACGTTACATTGTACATGGTGGGAAACTTGTCTACTGTTTAGATGTGAGTGAATGTATTTAGCTAAAGATATTCTTTTAAAAAATGTAAATTTCATAATGATGCTAATTAAACCAATGACAAAGCCATGGGGTCTGTTTGGAATTGTGGTTTCATAATGTATACATGCGCTGGAGCATATGAATATCAAAGACTAGGGAATATATCTAGAAATATATATTGCTAATGTGGGATAAATTTTGTGGTATGAAATCATACTGCAAGCATAACAAGAGATAACGCTAAGAGAAACTGCCCAATACTTCTGAAGTGTAACATAGGCAATGAAATTATCTAGTTGTTTCATGGAGACATATTACAATAATGTGAGCCCTCTCAGTTAAAGAGTAAAAATGTGTAGGAAGATGCAGTTTTCTGAAACTTGTATTATATTTTGATATAAGTGAAAGAAACCATGAAAGAATGAAAAAGTATAAACTAGGTATGTCTCTTACTTTAGTCTCCAAAATGAAAAACAGTTTTACTTCAGGCAGAATAATTTTCTCAGACTACTGAGTACTGTTTGTATTATCTTTAGATTGTGAGAGATGCAGGTATATAGTTTATTGTAACGCTCAAGTATAAAAATATCTCCTGAGTACATTTTAAGGTAATATATAAACTGGGAAACAGGACTACAACCTCCCCTCAGCAGCAATTCTCATCATAAATATCATTTAAGCTGAGTTTCTGACTCAAATAATTGCTTGCTTGAAATTTTAACTGTAATCTGGGGCTGAGAAATTGGGGTTGTGACAATTATGTTTTAATTGATCTTGGGTCATACATTTTTAGGGTATTGCTAACCTTTTCTGGTAAAGCAGTTTATCTTGCTATATATGCAAAGGTTACCTAGTGTTCAAGTTGTTGGATGAAATTTCAAATGTTTTTAAATACATAAAACAATATGGAATCTCTCCCTAAAAAAATTCTTCAGTGAATAATTAAGAACATTATATTAAATAACTTGTCAGTATTAAGAATTCATAATTTAAAAAGAGAGGAGTTTCAGATCAATTGAATACACATTTTGAAATGCAAAAAAAAATAATAATTTTACAGTTGAAAAAATGGAAAACATATCTGCGTCAGATACTAGTTAATACATTCTCTCCAGAGAGAGAGCCCTCACAGAAATTTCTAAAGGTGATGATTAGATACAAAAGGATAAAAAAAAGTCATGGAAATCTTTCATAACAACTCTGAAAGGAGAGTCATTTTCTCTGTTGCACCATTGATGTAGATCCAGAGGAACAATGAGAATGTAGAAAAGGTGGCAAAAAGAAAGACTTGGCCCTTGGAAATATAAACTTGTGGCACGCATTGAAAGTTCATTAAAAAGTGTCAGTATTTAATGCTAGAAATTATCTCAGAAGATACATTACTGCTTGCTTTCTTAATTTCATAGGTACTATCTAAAAGCTCCAGAACTTCTTAGAATTATTAAGGTATTAAAGCAATATTATAATAACAATGATTCTGAAATGTGTTATAATGATTTGATTTTTGAAGCTCCCTTTGTTTGTACTGAGTTAGACACCCAAAATTTTCTCTTTCCAAGGTGTATTGGTAAATTTTTTAATTTTCTATGGCACAAATGGTAGATCATACCTATTAAAAACTCAAGATGTGCATGGCAATTGGGCTGGAGGACTGTTCTAAATATAATCAAGTTAAAATCTTTGTGTTTGTAAGGAAATTGGATGGACGAATAGATCAATGGATGGATGAATGTGAGGGTGGATGCATGCATATATAAGCAATAATAAAGATGATATAGAAAGGGAGATAAGAACAAATACAAGGATCCCAGGACTAACAATGCATCAATTATCACGTGGGCTCAAATTAGGAACCACAGACCTCTTAGTCCAAAAACAAAGCTTTGGTTCCCAAACAAGTCTATGGTCCAAAGAAAGGTGACTGGACAGGTGGACAGAACCATAGGCAAGTGTGATCCCTGTAGCAATTCACTCCAGTAAGATCTTTTTGGTGAACTAATATTTACCAGCATGCTGGTGTGGAAGCACTGGCCCACATTTAGTTAAACGACAGTATTAAAACCTGTTCAGCATTTTTGTGTTTCTCAAATTGTGTTTCAAAGTGTATCAGAATCAATGGGAGTATTTGTTAAAATTTGGATTCCTAGGACTCACCCTTGGCTTACCGAATCAAATTTGATGTAGCAGTGGTGACATTGGGGTGAAGAACAGAAATCTACATTTTTTCTCATAGCTCCCAGAAGATTTTTATGCATACTTTTTCTGGAACAGGAGTCAGCAAATTGTTTATATAAAAGTCCAGATAACAAATGTTGCAGCCCTTGTGGGCCAAGAGGAAGCATCAAGGATATTATGCAGGTTCTCATATAAGAAGAAAAAACACATTTCCACAAATGTTAAATTTGACAAAATTCAAAATATAGTGATGATATTGAGAAGAAAAGAATACTATAATAAAATTCTACTAATGAGAAGAATTTGAGAGGGGTATATTTCACTTAAGGTTCAAAGTTAGTGTTCTCAATCATCAAATCAATTGTAAATGTGTTCACCTGTAAAAACCTTTTTTTAGCTGTGGCCATACAAAAACAAGTGGTGGCCTGCAAGTTCTCATTTTCCAACTTCTGATCTAGAAACACTGTTCCAGAGGCTTGTCTTAGTTTCTGCTGTTAATACAAAATACCATCAATTGGGTAGTTTGTAAACAACGAAAATTTATTTCTCACAGTTATGGAGGTTGAAAGTCTAAGATCAAGGCAGGTTAGGTGTCTGGTGAGAGCCTATTGATCATAGACAATGCCTTCTCCCCACAGCCTCACCTGGTGGGAGGGGCAAACAAGCTCTCTTGGGTCTCTTTTATAAGGACATCAATTCTATTCATGAGGACCCTACCCTCATTCTCTAATCACCTCCCAACAGACCCTACCTCCTAATATCGCAGCTTTGGAGGTTAGGATTTTAACATGAATTTTGGAAATACACAAACATTTCCACCATAGCAAGCTTAAGTATAGGATATTTTTAATAAAGAAAAACTATTTAAATATATAATTACAAACACCTTGTATTAACTGAACTCTTATGTCCTCACAGTCTAAACTTATTCCTCTACCCTTGTATATTTTTCATCTCAGTAAATGTCAGCTTTTTTCTTGAAGTTTTTAGGCTAAAAGCCTTGGGGTTTTTCTTTACTCCTTTCTTCTTCTCATGCCCCCCAAATCCAATCTGTCGGGAAATCATGATGGCTACGTTTTCAAAATATATTCAAAATCTTAGGATTTTATATCACCTCTGTTGCCAATCTCCCAGTCCAAACTGCCATCACCTCTAATCCTCTAATGTAGGTTATTTATGTAGGCCATTATGTAGCCTATTAAGATAGGCTATTTATTAAGGCAGATTATTTTGGTAGTCTCCTAACAGATTTTCCAGCTCTCCTTGTTTTCTTCCTATAGTCTATTCTCCACAAAACTACCAAGGTAAATCTTTACAAGTCATATCATGTAACTTCTCTCTCTAAATGATCAATGGCAGCCTATCTCATATTCAGTGAAGTTCAAAGTTCTTACTGTGACCTTACCTCCTTGATTAAATCTCCTACTGCACTTCCCCTCCCTCATGCCACTCTTGTCACACTGTCACTTCAATGTTCTCTAAAACATCAAGCACATTCCTATCTCAGCTCCTTTGTTTCTGCTCTGTCCCTTTGCCTGGGATTCTCTTTTCTCATTCTATCATTTCACTCAGATCTCTGCTAAAGTATCACCAAACAACGGTTTCCCTCAAACCCTGTACTAAATTGCAACCCCTCCTTCCAAAACTCTTTATTACTATTACTTAACCGACTTTCTTTTTCTTCATAGCGCTAAAAAATACCCATCATGTTTTATGTTGATATGTGTTTTTGTCCCCCACCACACTATCACTAGAAAATATTTTCCATGTGATCAAAGACTTTGTTCATAGCTGCATTTCAGTACCTGGAAGAGTGGCTGATATTTAATGATGATAAATAAATGTTTATTTAATAAATGAATTGCATGACATGACAGGAAGAAACATGACATGAAAGAGCAATTATTCTATCATATACTGTTAACAAAATGAAGCAGAGTGCATAGTGCTAAAAGGCAGAAAATAGCAATAGCAAAAGAAAACTTTTCTTACTCTTCTGTTTTTTGGATATTCCAAATTATCTTTAATGAACATATATGATTTTTTAATGGATAAAATTGTTGAACTTCAAAAAATCATTAAAATATAACAGAATAAATAAAACATTAAAACTCAATGAATTTAACTATATTAACATTTTACTCTTATATTTCTATTAACCAAATAAAATTTTGAAGGCAAACTTGGAAAATATTCACACCAGTTATGCCAAATCAATTGGTATATTATTTGTTTTTATATAAAGAGGTCACACAAATCAATACAAGAGCACATGGGCAAAAGTAGTTTTTGGGAAAACATAACAACAGACAACTATAAAAGGATAAAACAACTAGATGACAGACATACGACAATAACACTGTCTAAAGTAACTAGCTAAGATGCAATTTTAGTGAGATACTGTTTTCACCTATGAAATTAGTAATACTGAAGAAAGTGTCAATATTGATGAGGCTGTAGTTAAAACAGGCATTCTCAGGTATTGCTTATCAGGGTTTAAATTTATAAAATCCTTTTGAAACTATTTTATTAGATAGCAATATGTTTTAGTATCTCTAAAGTTGTTCATAGGTTTTGAACAAGTTTTTATCATCCGAAAAGTCATATTAGAATGGAAAATAACATTTTCAAACCTCAGTAAGCATCTTTGGAGTACTCTTCATGCTTCATCATTCTTCTATAGCCATGCCCCCAGTCCTCTTTCATGCCACAGCATATGCTAAAAAAGTGCATTGTGTTTGCAAATATAACTATTACATGCCAGACAAACTCATTATTCTTTATATATAACATCCTTTTTTTCTATCTGCTTTTCTCAAGTAGCTACATCTACCACAGACATGAGATCATAGAAGGTATATAGCACCTATTTGTTAATCAAATTATTGAAAATACACATCTGGTTTTCTTCTAACCATGAAATTATTTTCTGTTGTTAGAAATAGAGGATAACATCCAAAGAGAAAGGAGAGAATCAATGTAGTTATCCCCTGCCAATCCAGAACCAATAACTTCACCTTGATCTTAACCTTTCCTCTATGGTGGTGTCCAACTTATACCAAATATCAATTTGATGCTTTACACAAACTGTCTTTTTGCACACGAGCGTGTGTGTGTGTTTGCTTGTTCATGTGTTTTTGTGTGCTCAGGGAGAAGAAAGATTATCAGAATTGCCTGATTAATGTAATTTAAGTAGGCAAACCAGTTATAGGAGTAGAGATGATATTATCTGACTTATACAACCTCAGCATTAACTAACTCAGAACAGAAACAGAAAAGAAAGTACAAATTGAAAGGCATCACTAAATGAAGTATACTTGGAAGAGAATAAAAGTGTTAAAGAAAGACCATTAATAAAAGAAATATTTTGTTTTTTGACCTATTATACACATTCTATATAATTCCCCTAGAAGAGCAAGTAGTAGAGATACTTGAGACTGAGGAAGACGTAGGTGTCAAGCTCACTAAGTATCTGTAGTCACTTGTAAAATGAATTGTTGAACCAACAGAGTAACTCTTGCTAGGTAAATAAAGCAAGGATACAATTAATCTGATTAAAGGAATGGGCAAGAACTGAGACAAATGATTAAATTTGCTCCAAATTAAAGAGACAACTTTGGCAACTTTTTTCATCTATATAAAATAAAGCTATTTAATATAATATCTAATGTTTCTTTTTAAATGTAAATCTATTTCTAAAATATATTCTATTCTATTCTAGTATCTAATATTTCTTTTGAATGTAAATCTATTTCTAAACTATATTATATTCCCAAATGTTTATTAGTGATAGGTAAAATCATGTCAGTGAATGTAAAATATTGGCAATTTTATGTTTTTAATTTCAAAAACCACAGCTCTATGTTTCCCTTTATATTCAAAAATAATAATACATATAATGGATGTTGCTTTTATCACCAACAAGGATAGGCTATGCAGTCCTGCCTTCTGAGCCATTTATTGTTTCTTATCTGGTGTTATGTTTGACAACAAACACAGTATATAATTAAACTCAGATTTTGTGTAAAAGCATTAGGTTGTAGCCTGGGGTGAGGCAGTCACAGAGCTTTTCACTTCTTGAACGATGTTAAATTATGATACACTTTCTCTTATCTATGAATAAAATATTTGGATCATTTGCAGTATGGGGAGATAATCATCATCCTTTAGCAACTGAAGAACAGTATTCACAAAATGTAAGGATGACCAATAATATATGTATATTTTCCCCCAGGATTAATTCTAAGTGTTTAAACATGAGTCCACAGATTTTTGTCTTTGGAACATGTCTAAAAATCTTCAGTCTCTTCACATTAAGTGTGGGTGAGAAGCCTCTACTGCTTTAAAATTGCTCTAATAGGGAGAAGATGAGGCAACTATCTAAATAATTTTTATATGTACTCAAATCAATTTTTAAATTTATGTCGCCCTTGTAAAAATAGTACCACCCTCTCTGAAATCACATCCTTATGCAATAAGCTTTTCGTTCCTTACCCCTATCTTACTATCTTAATGTTGGGTTGGTGCCTAGATCAGAAAGGCATTTCTAACTACCACCATTTCATCCGAAAGGAATTTCCAAACTCTGTTACTCTTAATAGGAACTTGTAGTTACTATGTAGCTATGTACCTATTTGCCTTCACAGATACCTACATGGACTATATAAGTATACTCTATAAAAATGCAAACATGTAAAAAACAGCCCAAATTTTTTTTCAGAAATTTCAGTATTATCTAAAAATTAAAAAATTTGACATATGCAAGTATAACTGAGAAAGGCTAATTAAAAACAGTAAAAATAAAAAAGTTAACAGTCAAAGCACTTCTGAGTTAGCAAAGAGTTCATAAAGAATGAAATAAGTCATACATTTGGTGATTTCAAATATAGACTGTCTTATTAAATTAAGTGGTTTGGATTCATTGCATTCCAAGTCAACATAAATGATTTTTAAGTTGGCCTTGCTTTATACATCCTGAAGTCAACTTTCTCAGCACAGGAGTGGGAGAAGAATGTTGCTATCACCGTTTCTATTTAACAGTGTACCAGGACCGGGCGTGGTGGCTCACACGTGTAATCCCAGCACTTTGGGAGGCTGAGGCGGGCAGATCACAAGGTGAGGAGATCAAGACCATGCTGGCTAACACGGTGAAACACCATCTCTACTAAAAATACAAAAAATTAGCCAGGAGTGGTGGCGGGTGCCTGTAGTCCCAGCTACTCGGGAGGCTGAGGGAGGAGAATCGCTGGAACCCGGGAGGCGGAGCTTGCAGTGAGCCGAGATCTCGCCACTGCACTCCAGCCTGGGTGACAGAGCGAGACTCCATCTCAAATAAATAAATAAATAAATAAATAAATAAATAAAAACAGTGTACTGTATGTCCTAGGTAGCTCAGTAAGTTGTAAATAAATAGATAAATGAATATCTGTACAAATAAGAGGTAAAATGGTCAGAAAGAAATAAAACTATCATTAGCCACAGAATATATGATTTTATAAGTTGAAAATAAAAATGAATCTGCAAATAAACTCATGATGAAAACTGGTTGTCTTATATGTGCTAAATACAAGGACAATGTAAAGTTGTCTTTCTTAAAAGATTATAAATTTTTAAATATTTTATATGATCCAAAATATCAAATAACTAGAAAAAAACACAACAGAAAATTAGAAAAAATTTAAAACTTCATTGTGAGTTATTTAAAGGAGACCAAAATAAATGAGAGAAGTACAATGTTCATAAATTAAAGACATGAATTGTAGAGGTCAACTATCAAAAATTGATTTATAGATTAAATTTCACATCAGTAAAATTTCCAACAATATTTCTTGTGTATAACTTGATAAGTTGACTCTAAAATTTATATGAAAATTCAAAGGGCCAAGTATAGTCAGAATAATGTTGCAAAAGAACATGATGGTATAAATAGCTCTGCCAAATATCAATAACCATATAAACTTATTATCCAAGATTATTATAAAGCTATAGTAGTTAATATGATGAGTTAATTATTGGGCACAATAGCTCAACAGAACAGAAAATAAAGCACGGAATGTTACTTTCACTCACTTATATATGGAAACTTGATTTATGAACAGAGGCTGCAGTGATGAAAAGATGTAATAACAAGACTTTTTAAAATTAAATAAAGGGCAATAGAACAATATTAAAGTGTAAAAAATAATTGGATACCATACACCACACACAAATATCAATTCCAGGTGTATTAAGCACCAACATTTGTAAGAAAAAACAACAAAGCCATTTAGAGACAATGTTGTAGATTTTTATGACAATATAGAAGGTTTGAAAAATTAAATTACATTTAAAAATTCTATTCATCAAAAAAATCATAAAGAACATTAACAAATAAGCCACAGAGTGAGCATAGATATTTACTGTGCATATAACCAACAAGAATATATAATAAACCTATATCGATTTTAAAAAAAGAACAGGTAACAATGCCAACTTCTAAAAATGGGCAATTGACTTGAATGAAACTTCATAAGAAGAAAATCAAAATGGACAATAACCGTATGAAGAAGTGCTCGACCATATTCAAGATCAAGAAAATACAAATTAACAGCTCAGAGTGATAAACACCACTAGAAGGATGAAATTTCAAATGTCTAAATTGACTAACTGGTTCTTTTAATGTTCTCATCCATTCTCAATTAAAAATATGTAGAGTGCTATTAACAAGGTGAATTTATTTAATCCAATAAGAATCATCTAAAAAACTATAAAGTATCATTCTTAATGGTAAAATATTGAAAGCAATCACTTTAAGATAGGAAAGTTCATATTCCCCTGGTGAGAGTATAAGCTTGTAAAACCACTTTGGAGAATAATTTGGAAATTATCTAATAAAATTGAGGGAAATCATATCCTACCACTCAGCAATTTCACTACTCCTTTTATGTAAGAAAATATATGCAGTACCATTCATAACAGCCCCAACAGAAAAAAAAACCCACATAGCCATCAAAAAGTGTATAATTGTAGAATTATAGTATATTCATATAAACATCACACTATGAAGCAATAAAAATGAAAGAAACACAAGTATACACAGCAACAGGAATACATTTTACAAACATGATATTATGCAAAAGAGGCTAGGCTCAAGAGAACACATATATTCAAAAGTGTATAAAAAGCCCCAAAACATGTCCTTTTAAAAAACTTAACAACTTAATTGAGCAAAGAATGATTCATATATCAGGCAATCTCCCAAGCCAGAATAGTCTCAGAGTGCAGCCACGTGGTAGAAGAAGATTTATGGACAGAAAAAGAAAAGTGATGTACAGAAAATGGAAGTGGTGTACAGAAACAGCCAGATTGAATAGAGTTCAGTGTTTGCCTTATTTGAAATTGGTTTGAACAGTTGACGGCCTTTGATTGGCTGAAACTCAGTGATGGGCAGAAGAGTAGGTTACAGTCAGTTTACATGTCCACTTAGGTTACAGTTTGATAAGTATGGAGAAAACTTTAGGCAGAACTTATTAATAAAATATGTGAGGCAGCTTTAGGCTAAACTTACTTTAACTATTCCCCCCGTTTTATCATCCTCTTAGTTTTGATAGACCAAAACTTTAAGCATTGATGTCACTCTGTCACCATTGTAAATGCACTTATTTGGTCTCAAATCCCATTGGAAAATAGCAAAACAGTGGGTTTTGTAAGGTGGGGACAAGGACTTTATGTGATTAGTTTTTAAATGTTTAGAGAAGAGGTTAAGTTTTGTGTTGTAATCTCTGATTTACAGGAGAAAAACCCTAGTCTGTTTTAGGATCTATCTGTTTTGCTAAAGTTTTAGTTTGATTATGTCACATTTAGCATAAATGACTCCAATTTTGTTCGGTTTAGTCTGCTGGGGCCTAGAACATGAGCTCAGTCCAAAACAATGGCTTCCCATAATTTTCTTTAAAAATTTTTCACTTTTGGTAAGGTTCTCATTTAGATGACAGTGTAACCAAAACATAGGGCCTTAGCGTCACTCAGTTACTATCATTTTGGGTTCCTGGCCTCAGCACATCACTGATGAGTTATGGTGTCCTCATGGTCACACATCTTTTTTTGAGTTTATGCCATTATAGTCAAAGAGAGACCTTGACATTCTAGAGATGGCTGCATGCAAATGTCTAAAGCTTTTGCAAGAATAAAGCACACCAGGGAAACTACTATTATGACTATCAGGAAGATAATACCAAGTGTTTGGAGCATGTACACTAGCCAGGATCTCCATAAACCAAATCAACTAAAATCAAACAGATCAAAGAATGAGCTATATAGAATACACTTCTTTTAATCAAGCAGCCTGTTCATTGATCCCCTATAAATGAGCCTCTAAAATACTTCATGTATTCCTCCATGTGCAACTAGAACTCATTAATAACTGCACAGCCACTTCTCTGTTTAACCAGTAAGTAAAGTAGAGCCATTATATTATTTAGCACAAGTTTAGCAACAGAATTTAAAATGTGTTGTGTGATCATAGCCTTTACAGTATAATCTGCTATACAACTTATTATGAAGGATACATTTCTAATCATTGTTTCATTTACTCCAAACCATGAAAAAGGAGGCCTAACACATGATGCCCATCCAGAAGACTGAAAGCCTTCTGACACTGTTCTCTTTAATCTATGATGAAGGTTAACAGGAGTGGACCAATGTTATATTTCTGACTGATTATGAAGCAACAAAGGTATCATTTCTTATCCACATTGGCCCTTCATATTTTAGCTATCAAGGCATATGGTTGTCCACATATAAGGTTGGCTAAAAAATCCTGCACAAATAAAAGTATACCTTATGAATGAATAAGAGGGACCTCATTTTCGGTTCTATTGTTCGTTGAGGCATAAGCAAGGGAAAATAATGAGAAATAAGAGTTTCATGATAGCAGAGAAGTATTGATCTGCAATCTTGGGATAAAACCAGTCCAGGTCTGGGATGACGTCTGCTTCTGGGGAGAAATTTCCCTGGGTTCCTTTACCTTAAGGTCTCCAATCAACATACAGAGAAGGGTCCTCCTGAGTTGTGAGATTCCAACCCCAAGTTTCAAGGTCCTGAAATTTGGCGGCAGTGTGGGTGGCAAGGTCAGTCTTTCTCTGATGTCATTCTCAGAAGACCCAATATCCAGGTTCTAGATTGTGAATGGTTCGAATGTGCTCAGTCAGTGGAACATGTAAAGCTTTCTTTACCTGGTGAAAATGCATTTTGGCACATTGCATTAAAGCCTGGTAGCATTTAGTCATATCAGAGCTTACAAGCAGAAGATACATAAGTTTCTACTATTAGGTACATAGGCCTTTCAGTGACTATTTTACAAGTTATCAACTTATTTTTCCACAGGAAGTGAATCTGTCATTAATCTACAATACCTTTGATGAAGGTAAGCCAGTCAATTCAGTTAGCTTTGCTTAATGCTATCGTATCTGTAATACCTTATTTAACTGTTTTACAACTTTTCTAGTGAAACAAGTACTTCTATCACTAGAGATTTCTTCAAGAACATCCCATGAGGAAAACATATTTCCTAATAATGTTTCAGCTATCATTATAACATCAGCCCTCTTGTGAGGGAAAGCTTTTATATAAACAGAAAACATGCATCGAAAATGACAATGGAAAGAAATCCTTCTATAAATGCTTAGTTGGCCCATCAGCTATTAGAGATGTACCTGAAGTTTGACTGTTTTCCCAGGATTATGGGTTTGACAAACCAAACAATGGTCAAAAACCACTTTAGCAATTTAGAAGTTTCTACATACATATACATGCATATATATATATAGTGACTTCTAAAAATATATATATTCAATTTGAATCATCTTATTTCTTTCATAATGAGTCATGGAATGCAGAGCTTTTAATAATGAAAGCTTTAAGGACTCACGAAAGACCACATAGAGTCATCCAGTTTCTCTATGAGTCCACACTTAATATTGGAATTATATCTTAAATACAAATTTTACTTCTCCAATTTAGGTGTGTACTATTTATCAGGGTTATCATAGATAATTTGACTTGGATCATAAGTTTATTAAAACTGAATATCTAAACATTTTCAGTACTGGTAGACTTAGCATAAAAATCTAGCGAGGTATTTACTTGGTATTCAATTAATTTTTGTTCTGCTGGGGTTAGCAGTATTATCAACCAGTCAGTCTTTTTATTAGAGTTAGGGGAATTGTTACTCAGTCCAAATGATATAATCCTAAAGTTATCAGAACCTTGTATTCAGGAGCACTTGTCAGGGTTCTTTCCATCCTTTCATGAACCTCCCTGAAAACACAATACTCTTAAGATTTTACTTGTTAGTGATGTTTTCAAAAAGTGCATCAGAATTAAGCGATTAACTGTGGAAAGAACTTAAAATAAGCATAAAGACACAAATGCCAACAAAATTTTGTGACTTTGTGGCCTACATAATTTAACATAATAACCATAATTACAACTGATAACATGTACCCAGACATCATCATTTTAGGAATCACATACAATTTTGGAACACATATTAATAACATATTCAATACAATACATCTCAAAGAAGGTTAAACAACATTTCTTATTTGACAATGCTTTCCAAGTAATTGAACATATCAAATAATGCTTTTTATCTCTCTATCAGATGTTGCAGATGCCCTCCATAACATTCTGAAGTTAACAATTTAAAAAACAAAAGACTTAATTTTGTAGTTGAAATCTGACTTTGGGAGGCTTGTCAAATATGTCAAAAGTTTACAACACTTGTCAAAAACATCTCTTAAAGTAGACTAATTTTGGTCCAGCATTGTCTAGGTACTTTGAGCTCCTATGTAGCAAACTGCAACCTAACCGAGTATGTAAACATACTGCATCCTAATTTAAGGATATATTTTAGTAAGGAGTAGCTGAGTCTCAGCCAATCGTAACAGCCAAGTTTCATCCAATCACAGGCTACCAACTGATCAGATCATGTACATAAAAGTCAAAGACCTCCTTACATCGTGCTTAAATAAGGCAAATGCCAAGTTGTAATCAATCAATTTGTTTCTGCATGTAACCTCCTTTTTATGTCTATAAATGCTACTTGTCCATGTTATTGGGCATTCTCTGAACCTCTCCTGGTTGAAAGTGATGCCCAATTCATGAATTATTCTTTGCTCAAACTCTGCTTAATTTAATTTGTCGAAAGTTTTATTTTAACACAGGGAATTATAAGAATAGTGTTTAAGGATGTGTGAATCAGTAGCAAAACTATGAAGAAAGTAAAGAAGCAATTTTCACCAAAAACAGAAGTCTATTAATCCTTAAGGGAGATAAAAAGTTTGTGATAAAAAAGATGCTCTATTTCCTGAACTTAGTTATGGTTACTGGATGTTCACTTTATAATCAAATGCTAAACTAGACAAATATTTTATATAGTTTTCCTTATATGCGTTATACTTCACAATAAATGTGTTTAAAACAAAAAAAATTTCCAGTTCAATGTATTACCAAGATTTATCCTAGCCCAATAATCTTGATACATAGCTGTTGGACATTCACGTCTTCTTAAAAACACAAAGGAGATTTTCTTTCTAAGACAATGGGTCGGAGACATTATTAGCATGCCTCTCCCACTTGGGAAGACAAAATGGTGTGTGGAGATACTTGTTGTGAACTTTTTTTCGAGAAACCACACAAGAACTTAATAGAAAAACTAAAAGAAACCTCAGACCCTTTGCAAAAAGCAACAGGCAGGAGCATACACTATAAACCATGCAGAAAACTATGAGTTTGCAGAGCATCAAAGGGAGAGAGACTCCCTCCATGACACACCATCTCACAGGGAGGCCAGGTAACCCAGGCCATGGGGTAATGCTTTAATCCTACCCAGTACTAGAGCTGATTCATTGAACAGTGTGAAGTATATAGAGCAGCATCAGGACATGCTTTGCATGTACTCCACGATTCCAGTGGTGATGGAGAAAAGTGACTCCTGATCTTATCTCATAGGGGACCTTGTGGAAGTCTGCCAGCTAAATCAGGCTGTGGTCACAGGTTGAGAGAAGTTCTCAGTTGAAATTTGTGATATATTCTTGAGTGGGGATAAATCCCCTTGGCCAGAACCAAGGGGCTAATGGGAAGTGTTCTATAGCTACAGGAGCTGAGTGCCCTTGCTTCGTGGTTGGACTTGGAGGGGCACGACCTGAAAGCTGTCATTTCTGACTTGATGGAGAAGGCTTATGGCCTGAGGCAGTTTTGAGTTTTAAGTGCAGGCTGCCTGTTTCCCAGCTAGCTGCTGCTAGCAAAACAATGTGGATGTGGAACCTGCCTTGCCATATGCATGGGAGTTGAATGGGTCTTACTGCCACCTGCTACTCTCTGCTCCCTGTGTGGATTCTTTTGTGGAGCAGAGACAGCTGCATTCTACCTTAGAACATTACTCCAGTGGCCAGGGAACTTCCATCTGATTCTTATTGGGGCTGCTGTTTGTACCCAAACATAGGGAACCAGAGTGTGGACTTGCCTGACTCAGCACCAACTTGGCTTTTTCCCTCCACACACCCTAGTAGCATAACACAATGGTCAAAGACTTTTGGGAACTCCGTGGCTCCAGCCATTGCCTAAAACACCGGAGTATGTCCCTTGGATAACATAAGGCAAACACAGATCCCAACAGTGCCATTGCAGCTGTAACTCCTCTGCACCACCTCCCGGCTGAAGGCCAAGCAGCACAGCCCATTACAACTGTGGGCACAATAACACAGCCCTCAAGAGCAAGAAAACTTTTTCACGACCTCAGCTATCAGCATTGCCTGCATCATACTGGATAACCAGGAGGTCTTGAGTTTGGCCATGTGCCCAGTACATTATTATTGAAGCTGGCATTTAAGAAAGCCAACATAGTTAGGCTATTTACAACCAACGAAATCTCACAGAGTCTACATCACTCCCCTCCCAGCCTCAACAGAACTTCTGCTGGTACGCACTCTAAGAGACTACAGGACAGGTTAAATAACTAGATCCCCTGCAGACATTCTCCTAAACGAGCCTGGAACGTGGCAACCCCACTGGGTAGCTACACCCAGAGGAGCAGCAGCATTCACAGTAGTCTTGCCCTCAGGATTTCTACTCCTAGGAAAAGAAGACATGTATCACAGTAAGGGAAAATCCAGCGGGACAAAGGAGACCAGACTGTGATCCTTGAGTCCCTGAACTTTCCACTTGTGGATAGTTTCTTCCCATAGGCACAGATGCAGTGCTGGGCTCAGTGGAGAAAGTCTGCAGGTCTAACCCAACAGTCAGGCATCCCCGGTGCTCATGAAGGGTCTTGGAGAAGGGTACTACTTTTCCCCCTCACCCAGTAATACGGACACAGCTGGGGCTTCTCAGATGGAAGCTAAGCATGGGTGCATCTGCAGACAGCCTTTCTGGAACATTTCAGGGTGACTGCATCCCCACAGGAATAGTGCACTCCAGGTTCACGCTTGCACAATAGGTAGAGTCAAAATCCCTCTCTACGTGGAAAATCACAACTAAAACACTGTGTCAGGAAAGTGACTGGAAGCTGGATTGCTGTCCAGCTGGCCTGGAAGAGAGGCTGTGGCAGCTCCCTCCCTTCCCTCTAAATAGACTTCTGTTCATTTTACTGAGAGTTTCCCCGGTTTCCTCTGTCAAAACTGGGACATTGGCCCACCATTCAGATTTTGCATTTACCCACCTGCTTTAGCCATAGCGGGGTTTTACCCATGGGCACCTCCTACTTTCCTGAAGCTGAGCTGTTTAATCCTATGAATGAAATATGGGCATTTTTTTTTAAGTACACACCACTTGATAATGAGATAAGCTTCCCGAGACTTCGTCCATTATAGCTCTAAAAGAGAATGAACCTGCTCACACCCCCAGCATGTTGCCACCATAACTACCATCTGAGAAAGCCATTGCTCAAAGATTCTCCATAGCCAAGGAACACATTCAGAATCTGTCTCTGAAATCAACTAGAGCAAAAGCTAAGTGACAATAAACTATAAATATTAAAGTCACATTCTCTAGGAGAAAAAAAAAAACCAGTCAAATCAAAAATAAATTCAAAAATAATTAGGAGAAACATTTAATCCAAATGAGAAGAAACCAGAAAAATAATTCTGGCAATATGAAAAAACAGAGTTCTATAAAACCCCAAAAGATCACACTAACTCCAGCAGTGGACACAAACCAAGATGAACTTTTTGAAATATCAGAAAAGGAATTCAAAATTTTATTACATTACTCAAAGAGATGCAAAAGAAAGGTGGAAACCAACAACATTTAAAAAAAAATTTAAAAACAATTCAATTCCCCACTTTACTCAGCACTTCTCCTTCCTGCTGCCATGTGAAGAAGGACCTGTTTGCTTCCCCTTCTGCCACAATTGTAAGTTGCCTGAGGTCTCCCCAGGCCTGTAGAACTGAGTAAATTAAACCTCTTTTCTTTATAAATTACTCAGTCTCGGACAGTTCTTTATAGCAGCATGAGAAAGGACTGGTACAGTAGTGGAATGTGGGAAATCAGGATACGAAGTGGATACAAAAATATAGTTAGATACAATGAATAAGATTTAGTATTTGATAGCATAATAGGGTGACTACAGTCAGCAATAATTTGTTTTACATTTTAGAATAACTGACAGAGTGTAACTAGAATGTTTATAACACAAAAGAATGAAGAATTGTTGAGGTGATGGATACCTCATTTACCCTGATGTGATTATTATACATTGCATGCCTGTATCAAAATATCTCATGTACCCCATAAATAAGTACGTTTATGATGTACACATGAAAATTTTTAAATTTTAAAATTAGAAATGTCATGTTGTAATAATTAAATGTTATATATGGACTGTGCTGTAGATGCTGCAACTTACCACTTACCTTATGAGTTAATTTACTATAGAAAAAATAATAACTACATCCATGTAATATCTATATATTATGTGATAGATTATTGTAGGTTCTTTCTATGATACTAAAAATCGTGACCCTATCCCATGTCTATTCTTCTTGTCTCACAACTATCTTCTTCAAACACCTGCTGCTGTCTGCTTCTTTACCTGAGAGGTTTCTCCTGCAGCTGAGCTTATTCAGCATAAAGGAATAGCAACACCAAGGCGGGGAGATTTAATTATCACAGAGTAATCTTCAAAGGCAAAGACTAGAAAGATTTTTTAAATAAATACATATAATTATGTTGCTTTTTGCTAATATATCTGTATCTTACTACTGTCTATAATAAAATGAATAAATTATATTAATGAATAAGCCTGTTTGATTACTCCAATATGTAATTTCATGCATAAAACTTCAATCAAAGGAAATAAAAAATTCTAATTAAGGAAGTGATGAATTCTTTATTTATGTTCTCTCAATTTCTTAAATATCACATTGGAAGGTTACTTTGAGAATACTGATAGGATTACTAGCTTCCAAAAATAGCATTTTAAAAATGTAAGACTTCAATTTTCTACACCAGAGTGCAAAGTGCTTAGAAATTTTCACTCAACCCTATCTACAAGGAAACAGCTAAACAAACTAAAAAATCAACAACTTCTCTTAGAACGGTGGGGAAAGAGAAATCCACAACTCCAGCCCTCTTCAATAATTCTGCCTTACCTAAGTGGGAGTGAGGAAAGCTGAGAAGCTCTTCTGAAGTTCACAGTCCAGAGGCTCAGGCTCAGCCAGAGCAATCCGGCAACAGAAAGAAATAAAAGGCAACCAAATTGGAAAAGAGGAAGTCAAATTTTCTCCGTTTTGTATTCCACAATCTTATACCTACAAAACCCTAAAGGCTCCCCAAAGAGACTCCTAGGTCAAATAAATGGTTTCAACAATGTTTCAGGACACAAAATTAATGCACAAAATTGGTAGCATTTCTATACATCGATAATATCCAAACTGAGAACCAAATTAAGAACTCAATTCCATTTACTGTGGCCATACACAGAAAATAAAATACCCATGAATACATTTTACTGAGGACATGAAATATTTCTAAAAGGAGAGCTTATAAAACACTGATGAAAGAAATTGTAGATGGCATAAACAAATGGAATAACATCCTAAGCTCATGGATTAGAAGACTCAATTTCATTAAAATGACTATACTTCCCAAAACAATCTACAGATTCAATGCAATTTCTATCAAATTACAAATAACATTTTCAACAGAATTAAAAAACATTATTTGAAACCAAAAAAGAGCCCAAATAGCTAAAGCAATTTTAATCAAAAAGAGCAAAGCTGGAGCCATCAGATTACCTGAGTTTAAATTACACTACAAGGCTAGAGTAACCAAAACATCATGGTAGTGACAAAAAAATAGACACATAAATCCATTGAACATAATAGAAAACCCAGAAATAAATTCACATACCTGCAACCAACTGATCTTCAACAAAGTCAATGAAAATAAACAATGGATGAAAAAACACTCTATTCAATAAATGGTACTGAGAAAACTGGATAACCTTATGTAGAATAATAAAACTGGACCCCTATCTCTAATGATATACAAAAATCAACTCGGAATGGATTAAAGATTTAAATTTAATACTTGATACTATAAAATTCTGGAAGAAGCCTAGGAAAAACTCTTTAGGACATTGGCTTAGGCAAAGAATTTGTGACATTTGTGACTAAGACCTCATAGGCAAGTGCAAATAAAAAACTGAAATAGACAAATGGGACTTAATTTAAGAAAGGAGCTTCTGCAGAACAAGATAAATAATAAACACATTAAACAGACAACGTACAGAATGGGAGAAAATATTTGCAAATTATGCATTCAACAAAGGACTAATATCCAGAATCTACAAGGAACTCAAACAACTAAACAAGAGAAAAACAAACAAACAAAAAATTAAAAAGTGAGCAAAGGACATAAACAGACATTTCTTAAAAGAAGACATACAAGTGGCCAACAAACATATGAAAACATGCTCAACAAAACTAATCATCAGATAAATGTGCACAAAATCCCCAATGAGATATCATTTCACAGCAGTCAAAATGGGTAACATTAAAAAGTCAAAAAAAAAAAAAAAAACCAAAACAAAACAGATTTTGATGTGGATGCAGAAAAATAAAGCAACACTTACACATTGTTGTTGGAATTGTATATTAGTACAACCTCTATGGAAAACAGTATGAACATTTCCCCCAAAATTAAAAATAGAACTACCATTCAACCCAGATATCTCACTAATGGGTATCTACCCAAAGGAATAGAAAGCATTATATTAAATAGACACTTTCATTTATATATTTATCACGACCCTATTCACGATAGCAAAATCATGGACTCAAGTGTCCATCAATAGATGATTGGGCAAATGTTGTATATATATACCATGAAACACCATGTAGCCATAAGCATAATAAAATCATGTCTTTGGCAGCAACATGGATGCAACTAGAGTTCATTATCCTAGATGAAATAACTCATAAACAGAACAACAAATACTGCATATTCTCACTTATAAGTGAGAGCTAAACAATAAATACATGGGCACATATAGATGAATAGAATAGACACTTGGGACTCTAAAAAAGAGGGAGATAGATGGGGGTGAGGGTTGATAAATTATCTATTAGGGACAATGTTCACTGTTTGGGTGATGGGTACACTAGAAACCCAAACTTCACAATTATGGAATATATCCAGGTAACAAACGCATATAATTACCTCCTGAATCTAACATAATAAAAATAATAATGTTGGTTTCTTTTTGTCTGTTTTAATCATCCCATAGTGACACTGAATGCCTAATTAAGTGTAAATTTGTATGTACAGTCTTTATTCTTTATTAGTACAGTTGATGCTCATAATTCTCAGATTCCATATTTACAAATTTACCTACTCACTGCAATTTATTAGTAATTTCAAATCAATACTTGCAGCACTTTCATAATCATTCACAGATATGCACAGGGTGACAAAAAATTTCAGTCACTCTATGAGCACATTCTTAGCTGAGGCTGAATAAAGTGACACCCTGCCTTCTTGTTTCAAAAATAAAAATAATATAATAAAATACATTAAAAATTTTAAAAGACACATATGGATTAAAAGTGAATGGATATAGAGGCATACTATGCTAATACTAATGAAAAGAGAGTGGAAGTACCTGTATTAATTTCAGACAGAATAGTCTTCTGAATAAGAAAGGTTATTAGGAATAAAGAGATGCAGTACATAATAATAAAAAAAATCAGTAGACTTCGAGAAGACATAAATATCCTTAATGTGTATGTATCCAGCAACACAGCACCAAAATGGATCAGAAAAGAACTTATACAAGTACAAGGATAAATAAATAAATATCATATCACACTTGGTGAATTGAACACCTTCTTATCAGAAATAGATTCAACAGATCAATAAGTACACAGTTGAACACAACAGTATCACTAATCAACTGAATATAACTGACATCTATAGAGTACTTCATCCAACAAGAGCAAAATATACATTCTTCTCAAGCTCAAGTAGAAGGGGAATATTCAACAAGATAGACCATATTCTGGACCATAAATCATCTTTTAACAAATTTTATAAAACAGAAATCATATAATGTCTGCTCTTAGATCACAATGATATTAAACTGGAAATCGATAAGAGAAAGATAACTGAAAAATCCCCCATATACTTGAAGATTAGGAAACATGCTTCTAATTAACACATGGGTTAAAGAAGAATTCTCAAGTAAAATTAACACGTATTTTGGGATGTATGAAAATGTTAAAAACTTATCAAAATTTGTGGAATGCAATGAATGCATGCAGTACTTAGGAAGAAATTGTATACACATATTAGAAAAAAAAGAAAGATCTAAAGTCAATCATCTATGTTTTCAACTTACAAATCCACAAGAGTAATCTGAGTCCAAAGTAAGAAGAAGAAGACATATACAAATTTAGAGCAGAAATCGATGAAATTGAAAATGGGAAATCAATAGAGAAAATCAATAAAACCAAAAGCTAATTATTTGAAAGATTAATAGAATTGATAAGCCTCTAGTAGGCAAACTAAGAAATACAGAGGGAAGACACAAATTACTAATATCAGAAATGAAATAGGGGCTATCACTACAGATCTCATTGACAGATAATAAAAGAGCATTATGGACAACAGTGCATCTACACATTTAGTTACCTAGATGAATGACTAAATTCCTTGAAAGACATGATGTGCCAATATTTACACAAGAAGAAATACACAACATAAATGAGCCTATATCTACTAAATAAATTGAATTAAAAATTAATAAATATCAAAAACAGGAAGAACCAGGCCCAGATAAATTACATGTTGAATTGTACTAAACAATTAGGGAAGAAATACCAATTTTATACAATCTCATTCAAAACATGGAAGCAGAGGTAATTCTTACTCATTCTATGAAGCCAACATTACCCTAATACCTAAGCCAGAGAAAACATTACAAGGAAAGACAACTACAGACCAATAACTGTCATATACATAGATGCAAAAAATCCTCAACAAAAACTTAGCAAATCAAATTTAACAATACATAAAATGAATTATGCATCGTGACCAAGTGGGATTTCTTCCAGGTATGCAAGACTGGGAACATCTGAAAAACAATTAGTTTAATCAATCATATCAACAGAGTGTAGAAGAAAAATAACATGGTCATATTAACAGCTGCAGAAAAAGCATTTGACAAAATCAAACACACGTTTATGATAAAAACTCTCAGCAAACTAGGAATACGAGGGAACTTCCTCATCTTGATAAAGAACATCTATGAAAAACCTACAGCTAAAATTATAATTAATGGTGAGAAACTTAAAAGTTTTCCTACTGAGATCAGAAGCAATAATGTCCCCTGTTACCATTACCACATGGACACAGGAAGGGGAACATCACACACTGGGGCCTGTTGTGGGGTGGGGGGATGGGGGAGGGATAGCATTAGGAGATTTACCTGATGTTAAATGACGAGTTAATGGGTGCAGCACACCAACATGGCACATGTATACATATGTAACTAATTTGCACGTTGTGCACATGTATCCTAAAACTTAAAGTATAATAAAAAAAATAAAAAAGAATTTGTACTTTCACTATAAAAAAAAAGAAATGATTATTTTTACAAACCACAAAATGGCATGCTCACTACCCAGAAGGCCAACAATACCAAGAAAAAGCTTCTTGTCCAGACGTCAGGTTACGTGAAAATGGTTCATATAATACTTGTGGTTATTTGGGAGTCTTAGGTCCTGCTCTTTTGAATCATATATCAGTTGTATTTTAATTTGTTGCCAAAGGAGTCTCCTTATGGAAAACTTTTCCTAATTTACTTGAAAAATAAAAATTCTGGTGCTTAAACTTCTGTGTGGGAAACTAACAGAAACTTAGAAATTATAAGTAAAATTGTTAATCTTTAACTTAGACTTGGAAAAAAAGAACCACATGATAGAGGGATAAAGGGGGATTGACAAGATCACGAACAATTCAAGTTTACAAAGCGTGTAATTTGTGTAGAATTTTGAGGTGAACAACGTTAGGGTAGGAAACAAGAATACATTTATTCCTTTTAACAAAGCACTTACAGTGTATTTGAGAGCTAAGTGAACAAGTCAGTTAAGTTGCTAAATTACGTATATTCGTATTCCAAAATGTTCAGTGTAGGCTACATGTGTTCTGAAAGATCAAGGCAGGGACAGTCCAATTTTGACTTTAAGCTTAGATCTGAAATCTGGGAGAACTTTACAGAAGGTTCACATTAAATCACTTTCTCTTTGATTCTCACTTGTTGATCCATAATTTCAAAATGACACCAAGAAAATTAGTTTGCACTTTTCAAAAAAAATAAAAATACGATTTCCAAGAAAAAAACCTTATTTAAAATCACCGTGAGCTTCAAGTCATGCTGTACTTCAAAAATAGCTCAAAGTGCCTATCATTATTACTAAACTGCCAGTAATTTTGATGGTAAGAAAAATAGCCAAGTCACTTGTAACTTCCTTAAATTTATCTACAATTGTCTTCCATTTCGCTCAAAATAAATTTGAAGTTCTTATTTGCTATTTGTTTCATTAATACCTGTGCAACGACGCCATAAATTATTACCTCTTATGCAATGTAGCTTTATTTTTAAAAACTGATAATAACATTCATGAGAAAGAAAGGTTATTTCAAATACCATATTGAGCAATTAAAATGTGTTTGTCAACTTTTCACCATCATTGTTCCATAGAGAACAAATGCGGTATGAGGACATTTAGATCCTGAGGAAAAAAAAGACCAGAAATTTCTCTACTGAGAAAGTTAAAAAAAATAATTTTTACTATTTATTTTTAACTTTATTTCCAAATATTTGCATCCCGTAACAATTTATGCTAAATTAATAGTACTATTTATTTTTCTTTCTGTATTAAGATAAACTGAGTCATGCACATGGCCATATACATATGTTTGTGTGTAATGGTGATTATCTTTTTACCCAAGGGCATTCATTTGCAACAACAGCAAAACATGTTTACCTTAACAAAAGGAAGAAAAATCTTTAACTTTAAGAAATTAGTTGAATAATGACCTAAAACCATGGTAAGGTAGTTTTGCTCCATATGAGAAATACCACAAACGCAAAAAATTGTAGTGGGGTTGTTCTTTTGTGTGGATTCTGTTCTCTTATTTCAAAACAGAAGGGAACAATGAACAATGAACGAAAATTTATCTGGAGTCACAGACAACTAGAGAGTGAATTTGTGGAAGATCTAAATGTTACCTAACAACATTGACATCAACAAATGCTGCACCTTCAAAATTCTAACGATTGATAATCTAACCAAATATATTCACTACCAAACCTCAAGCTTTTATATAAATATTACAGATTTCCTCAGTATTTCTAATAAGAACTGTTTTTGCATTAGGTAGTTTCAAACTTGTTAGGTATATATTTTAACTATTATTTCCAAGTTTTTAATGAGAAGATCTCTCACAGATCAATCACTACAATGAACAATTTGAGAAGCCTAGAATGTATTAAACATCCTTAGCTTCTCTCAGAGCCATATGCATTCTGCTCTGCTTTTGTATCCAGTTTATTTAAAACATACTTTTTAAGATTTATCTCCTTAGATATCAGGTAAAAATACTTACACTTTTTAATTTAATATATTTCAAATATACATAAAATATAGAGGATGATTTTTAAATTACAGCAAATAATTTAAAAATATTATAGCTACTGACCCACCAGCAAGCTTTATCAACTCTGAATATTCTGCTATCATTTAATACGTATTTTTGGTATAGATGCATTACAAATTCTTAGAAAATATATATTACAAATACATTGAAACATGCTTTGTAAACTTCCTTTGTATATTCCCATCTCCCTCACCAGTGTAAACTACTATCTTCAATTGGATGTTTATTGTTCCTATATTTTTTATATCCTTAACACTTACTTGTCAATTAAACTATACAGTTTGTTGCCTTTAAGCTTTATAGCTTTATAATAAATAGCATGACACTATATATCATTTATCTTTGCTGAGACTTATATTTTAAAGGTTTAACAATGTTTATATATGCAGCTCAAGATTGTCACATTAACTGCTTATTTTTTTCCATAATATGAATATATCAGTGTGTTCTCCTAGTGATAGGCATTTGTTATTTCAGATGGTTCACTATTATAAATACTACAAGCAAGTCTACAAGGCTTATAACTAGAAGTATAACTGCTGGGTTGAAGAGTGGGGGCATTTTCAACTTTACCCGATATTGCAAATGTGGTCACCTAAATAGTAGTATTAATATATATGTCCAGTAGCTATGCAGAAAAATGCCAATATTTTCATATCCTTGCCAGATTTTTTTTTGTCAGATTTTTTCCCAATACGCTGGATTCGAAATGGTATCTCACTATAGTTTAAATTGTATTTCCTTGATTATTAATGAAGTTGGGCATATTTCTATATTATTATTCACTAAATGGATTTTCTTTTCTGTGAAACATCTGTTTAAACTCTTGACTGTATTTCTCGTGAAGTTTTGGTGTTTCATTACTGATTTGTGAAAATACTTTATATATACTATATATTAATTCTTTATTGTTTATATGTGTTTAAAATGTCTTTTCTCAGTGTATGTCTCAATTTTAAAAAATTTTACAGTGGTTTTTGTGAGAGATCTTTCTTTTAACGCAGTCAAATAATCTTTTTAAGATCAATTTCAACTTTTATTTTAGATATAGTGTGTCTATGTGCAGGTTTGTTACATGAGAATATTCTGTGATGCTGAGGTTTGGAATATGGATCCTATCACACAGTTAGTAAGCATAGTTACCCAGTAAGTAGTTTTTAACCCATCCTTCATCTCTCCCTCCCTGATCTAGTAGTTTCTAGTGTCTGTTGTTCTCATATTTATGTACAAGTGTGCTCAATGTTTAGCTCCCACATATAAGTGAGAACATGTGATATTTGGTTTTCTATTCCTGCATTAATTAGCTTAGGATTACGGCCTCAAGTTCCATGTGTGTTGCTGCAAAGGACATGATTCCATTCTTTCCTATAGCTGTGTAGTATTCCATTGTGTATATTTACCACATTTTCTTTATCCAATATACCATTGATTGGCACCTGGGTTGATTCCATGTGTTTGCTATCATGCATAGTGCAGGGATGAACATGAGCGGATATGTCTTTTTAGTAGAATAATTTATTTTCCTTTGGGCATATGCTCAGTAATGGGGTTGCTAGGTTGACTAGTAGCTCTGCTTTATGTTCTCTGAGAAATCTGCAGACTGCTTTCCACGGTGGCTGAACTACTTCACATTCCCACCAACAGTGTATAAGTGTTCTCTTTTCCCTGCAGCATCGCCAGCATGTATTATTTATTTCTTCTTTTTCACTTTTTATAACAGCCATTCTGACTGGTGAAAGATGTTATCTCATTTTGGTTTTGATTTGCATTTCTCTGATGACTAGTGATGCTGAGAATTTTTTCATATGTTTATTGACTGCTTGTATGTCTTCCTTCCAAAGGTGTTTGTTCATGTCCTTTACCCATTTTTAATGAGGTTATTTGGTTTTTGCTTGTTGGTTTAAGTTCCTTATAGATCCTGGGTATTAGGCCTTTGTTGGATACACAGTTTTTGAATATCTTATTTTATTCCACAGGTTGTCTGTTTGATCTGTTGATCATCTCTTTTGCTCTTTAGTTTAATTAGGTCCCACTTGTCAATTTTTTCTGTTGTGATTGCTTTTAAGGATTTAGCCAAAAATCATTTGCCAAGAATGATGTTGAGAAGAGTATTTCCTAGGTTGTCTTCCAGGATTTTTATATTTTGAGGTCTTACATTTAAATCTTTAAACCGTTTAAGTTAATCTTTGTATATGGTGAAAGGAAGGGTTCAATCTTCTGCATATGGCTAGCCAGTTATCCTAGCACTATTTGTTTAATAAGGAGTCCTTTCCCCTATTGCTTATTTTTGTTGGCCTTGATGAAAATCAGATGGTTGTACTTGTGCAGCTGTATTTCTGAGTTTTCTATTTTGTCTCATTGGTCTATGTGTCTGTATTTGTTCCAGTACCAAGCTGTTTTGGTTAGTGTGGCTTGACAGTATAGTTTGAAGTTGGGTAGTGTGATGTCTCCAGGTTTGTGCTTTTTGCTCAGGATTACTATGGCTATTTGGGCTCTTTTTGGTTCCATATTATATTTAGAATGGGTTTTTCTCATTCTGTGAAACACGATGTTGGTAGTTTGATTGGAATAATGTTGAATCTGTAAGTTGCTTTAAGCACTCTGGCCATTTTTTAAATATCCACTCTTCAAATACACGAGTATGGAATGCTTTTTCATTACTGTGTTGTATCTGATGTTTTTCGGCAGTGTTCTGTAGTTCTCCTTGTAGAGATCTTTTGCCTCCTTAGTTAGATATATTCCTAGATATTTCATTTTCTTTGTGGCTATTGTAAATGAGATTGTATTCTTCATTTCCCTCTCATCCTGGATATTGTTTCTGTGTATGCAAGCACTATGTATGTTTCTTTCTTAATAAAGGTAAAAAAATCATACAAAGCATTTCCTATCACAATGAAATAAAATAAAAAATCAATAAAAGAAAGAAAACTGAAAAAATGTAAAAATAAACAGATACCCTCTGTAAAAATCAATGGATCAAACAATAAATCACAAAGGAAATTATAAAATATCCTGAGACAAGAAAATATAAAGTGCAATATACTAAAGGAAAATGTATAGCTGTAAACATGAAAAGAGAAAAAAATCTCAAAACAGCACCCTAACTTTACAATTTAAGAAACTAGAAAAAGAAGAGCAAACTAAACTAAAAACTAGAGGAAGAAAATAATAAAAATAGAGTAGAGACAAACAAAATAGAGAATGGAAAAACAATAGAAAAATCAACAAAAATAAATTTATTTTTAGAAAAGCTCAAAGTATTGAGAAATCTTTAGGTATATTGACTAATGAAAACAGAAAAGACCTGGGGATCTGGCAAGATGACTGAATAGGAACAGCTCTGGTCTGCAGCTCCCAGTGAGACCAACACAGAAGATGGATGATTTCTGCATTTCCAACTGAGGTACCTGGTTCATCTCATTGAGACTGGTTAGACAGTGGGTGCAGCCCACAGAGGGCGAACAGAAGCAGGTGGGGCATCGCCTCACCCAGGAAGTACAAGGGGTTGGGAAACTCCTCCCCTAGCCAACGGAAGCCTTGAAAGACTGTGCCTTGAGTGATGATGCTATCCGGCCCAGATACTATGATTTTCCCAAGGTTTTGGCAACCTGCAGACCAGGAGATTCCCTTGGGTGCCTACACCACCAGGGCTCTCGGTTTCAAGCACAAAACTGGGCAGACATTTGGACAGATACTGAGCTAGCTGGAGGAGACTTTTTTGTACCCCAGTAGTGCCTGGAACCCCAGTGAGACAGGACCATTCACTCCCCTGGAAAGAGGGCTGAAGCCAGGTAGCCAAGTGGTCCTGCTCAGTGAGTCCCACCCTCATGGAGCCCAGCAAGCTAAGATCCACTGGCTTAAAATTCTTGCTGCCAGCACAGTAGTCTGAAGTCGACCTGGGATGCTCTAGCTTGGTGGGGAGGTGGGCAGGTGGGCAACGGCCATTACTGAGGCTTGAGTGGCGGTTTTCCCTTCACAGTGTAAACAAAGCCACTGGGAGGTTCAAACTGGGTGGAGTCCACCACAGCTCAGCAAGGCCTCTGTAGCCAGACTGCCTCTCTAGATTCCTCCTCTCTGGGTAGAGCATCTCTGAAAGAAAAGCAGTAGCCCCAGTCAGGGGCTTATAGATAAAACTCCCATCTCCCTGGGAAAGAGCACCTGGGGAAATGGGTGGCAGTGCGCACAGCTTCAGCAGACTTAAAAGTTCCTGACTGCCAGCTCTGAAGAAAGCAGTAGATCTCCCAGCACAGTGGTTGAGCTCTGCTGAGGGACAGACTGCCTCCTCAAGTGGGTCCCTGACCCCCTGTGCCTCCTGACTGGGAAGACACCTCCCAGCAGGGGTCGACAGATACCTCATACAGCAGAGCTCCAGCTGGCATCTGGCGGGTGTCCCTCTGGAGCAAAGCTTCCAGAGGAAGGAGCAGGCAGCAATCTTTGCTATTCTGCAGCCTCTGCTGGTGATACCCAGCAAACAGGTTCTGGAGTGGACCTTCAGCAAACTCCAGTAAAGTTGCAGAAGAGGGGCCCGACTGTTGGAAGGAAAACCAACAAACAGAAAGCAATAAAATCAACATCAACAAAAAGGACACCCATGCAAAAACCCCATCCGATCGTCATCAACATCAAAGATCGAAGGTAGATAAATCCACGAAGATGAGGAAAAACCAGCACAAAAATGCTGAAAATACCAAAAACCAGAATGCCTCTTTTCTTCCAAAGGATCACAACTCCTTGCCAGCAAGGGAACAAAACTGGATGGAAATTGAGTTTGACGAATTAACAGAAGTAGGCTTCAGAAAACAGGTAATAACAAACTCCATTGAGCTAAAGGAGCATGTTCTAACAAAATGCAAGGAAGCTAAGAACCTTGATAAAAGGTTACGGGAACTGCTAACTAGAGTAACCAGTTTAGAGAAGAACATAAATGACCTGATGGAGCTGAAAAACACAGCACGACAACTTCTTGAAGCATACACAAGTGTCAATACCCAAACTGATCAAGCAGAAGAAAGGATATCAGAAATTGAAGATCAACTTAATGAAATAAAGTGTGAAGACAAGATTAGAGAAAAAAGATTGGAAAGGAACGAACAAAGCCTCCAAGAAATATGGGACTATCTGAAAAGATCAAACCTACGTTTGATTGGTGTACCTGAAAGTGACAGGGAGAATGGAACTAGGTTGGAAAACACATTTCAGAATATTATCTGGAAGAACTTCCCCAACCTAGCAAGACAGGACAACATTCAAATTCAGGAAATACAGAGAACATCACAAAGATGCTCCTTGAGAAGAGCAACCTCAAGACACATAATCGTCAGATTCACCCAGGTTGAAATGAAGGAAAAAATGTTAAGGGTAGTCAGAGAGAAAGGTCAGGTTACCCACAAAGGGAAGCCCATGAGACTAACAGCAGATCTCTCTGCAGAAACCCTACAAGCCACAAGAGAGTGGGGGCCAATATTCAACAATCTTAAAGAAAAGAATTTTCAACCTGGAATTTCATATCCAGCCAAACTAAGCTTTATAAGTGAAGGAGAAATAAAATCCTTTACAGACAAGCAAATGCTGAGGGATTTGGTCACCACCAGTACTGCCTTACAAGAGATCCCGAAGGATGCACTAAATATGGAAAAGAAAAACTGGTACCAGCCACTGCAAAAACATACCAAAATCTGAAAAAAAGAAAAAGCCCCAAAACTCAATCAGATATGGAAGACGGGGCATTACAACTCAGTTTACAGAAATAAAAATGATTATTAAAAATACTATAAACAATTATACACCAACAAAATGAAAAAGATAAATGACATGACATAATTTCTAGAAACACACCACCGACAAAATACGAAATCATGAAGAAAGAGAAAATTTAAATAGACTAGTAAGGGGATTGAATCTGTATTTTAAAACCTCCTATCAAAGGAAAGCCCAGAAAGAGATGGCTTCCCTGGTGAATTATATCAAATATTTAAACAAAAATTAACCAATCCTTTTCAAATTCTCCCAAAAATTTGAAATGGAGGAAACACTTCCAAAGTTACTTCATAAGCCCGTCATTACCCTGATACCAAAACCAGGCAGACACTTCAAGTAAAGGAAACTTCAAACCAATATCCCTGATGAACATAGAGGCAAACATGCTAAACAAAACACAAGCAAACAAAATTTAACAGCACATTAAAAGGATTGTAAACCATAACCACAAATGATTAATGCCTGAGATACAAGAATGATTTGACATATGCAAATCAATCAATGTGATACACCACATTAGCAAAACAAAGGATAAAATCACATCACCAACTCAGTAGATATCAGAAAAAGCATATGACAAAATTCAATACACTTTCATGATAAAATTAGTCAATAAATTTGGTATAGAAATAATTGCCTCAATATAATAAAGTCCATTTATGAAAAGCCCACAACTGATATCTTACTCAATAGTAATGAAACTGAAACCTTTTCCTCTAAGATCAAGAATAAGGCAAGAATGTCCACTCTAGTCACTTCTATTTGACACAGCAATTAGGTAAGAAAGAGAGAGAAATAAAAAGCATCCAAATTAATACAGAAGAATTAAAATTATCTCTGTTTGCAGATGACATGTTCCTTTATGTACAGAATCCAAAATATTCCACAAAGTACCCTTGAAACTAACAAGCAAATTTAGTAACATTGCAGAATACAGAATCAAACTACAAAATTGCATTGTATTTCTACACATTAACCAAAAGAAATCCAAGAAAAAAATTAAGAAAATGATTACTCACAATATCAAATAATTGGAAAGACACCCCATCCTGTGTTTCTGGATTTAAAATGTTCATAATACTCAAAGCTGTATACACATTCAATGAAATCCCCATCAAAATCCCCTTGGCATCCTTTTTTAGATATAGACAGAAAATCCTAAAATGTATGTAAAACCACCAAAGGAATCCAAATAGCCAAAACAATCCTCAAAAAAAAAAAAAAAAAAAAGCTGAAAGCCATTCATTTACTGATTTCAAAACATATTACAATGCTATGATGATCAAAACAGTATGGTACTGGCATAAAAAATAGACATATAGACCAATGGAACAGAATAGAAAGCCCAGGAATAATCCTACACACATACATATGGTCACCTGATCTTCAACGAGTGCGTCAAGAATTCACAATGGGAAAAGGATTGACTCTTGCACAAATAGTGTTGGGAAAACTGTATATATACATGGAAAACAATGAAATTAGATTATTATCTTACACCATACACAAAAATCAACTCCAAATAGATTAAAGACTTACACATAAGACCTGAAACTCTAAAACTCATAAGAGAAAATGGAGGAAAAGCTTCATGACATAGATCTTGGGTATGGCACCAAATGCACAGGCAACAAAAGCTAAAACAGGCAAATTGTACTTGATCAAACTGAAAAACTTCTGCAGAGAAAAACAAACAAACAAACAACAACAACAAAAAACCACACACCAAAAAACCATCAACAGAGTGAAAGGCAACCTACAGAATAGGAGAATATATTTGCAAGCCATGTATCTGATAGGGGGCTGGGGGCTAATATCCAAAAGACAATCTATGGAATGGGAGAAAATACTTTCAAACCTTATATTTGAGTAAAGGCTAATATCCACAAAATTTATCACAAACCCCTACAACTAAATAACAAAAAAATAATAATTTGATTTAAAAATAGGCAAAGGGCAACATGGATGCACCTGGAAACCATTATCCTAAGAGAACTATGCAGAATCATAGAACCAAATACCATGTGTTCTCACTTATAAGTGGAAACTAAACTTTGGGTACACATGGTCATAAATATGAGAACAATAGACACTGGGAATACAAGGGGGAAAAGGGAAATAAAGGCTGAAAAGCTGCCTATTGAATATTATGTGCAATACCTGGGTGATGGATTCCTTTGTACTCCAAACCTCAGCATTATGCAATATACCTCTGTAACAAACATGAACATATACCCCCTCAACCTAAAATAAAAGTTGAAAAAAATTGGCAAAAAGCTTGAATGGATATTTCTTTCAAGAAGATATACAAATGGCCAACAAACATGTAAGGATGCTCAGAACCACTGTATTAGTCAGTTCTCACATTGCTATGAAGAAATACCCGAGGCTGGGTAATTTATGAAGAAAAGAGGCTTAATGTCTCACCATTCTGATGGCTGTGTAGAAAGAATGATGCTGGCATCTGCTCAGCTTCTGCGGAGGCCTCAGTAAACTTAACAATCATGGTGGAAGGTGAATGAAGGGGGAGCATGCATATCACATGGCCAGAGCAGGAGCAAGAGAGAAGCCACACACTTTTGAACCATCAGATCTCACAAGAACTCACTCACTATCATGAGGTCAGTACCAAGGGACTGTACTAAGCCATCATGAGAAATGCGCCCCCATAAGCAAATCACTTCCCACTAGGCCTCACCTCCAACATTGGGATTACAATTCAACATGAGATCTGGGTTGGTTCACAGATCCAAACCATATCAACCACTAATCATCAGACAAACACAAATCAAAACCACAATGAGATGTCACCTCACACATGTTAGGATGGTCATTATAAATTTAAATAAAATAAAATAAACAGAAAAGAAGTGTCGCCAAGGATGTGAATAAAATGGAAACCTTCTTATCTGCTGGTGGGAATGTAAAGTAATGCAGCTGTTTTGGAAAACAGTATGACAGTTCCTCAAAAAGTTAAAAATAGAGCTGCCACATAATTGGCAATTTCATTTCTTGGTATTTAATCAAAAGAAATCAGAATTTTTTTTTTTTTGAGACTTAGTCTCACTCTGTCACCCAGGCTGGAGTGCAGTGGCATGATCTTGGCTCACTGCAAACTCTGCCTCCCAGGTTCCAGTGATTCTCCTGCCTCAGCCTCCCGAGTAGCTGGGACTACAGGCACGTGCCACCACGCCTGGCTAATTTTTTGTACTTTTAGTAGAGACGGGGTTTCACCGTGTTAGTCAGGATGATCTCGATCTCCTGACCTCATGATCTGCCCTCCTCAGCCTCCCAAAGTGCTGGGATTACAGGCATGAGCCACCGCGACTGGCCCAAATCAGAATCTTGAAGAGGTATTTGTGTACTTATGCTCATTGCATTGCATTTATAATAGCAAAATTGTGGAAGAACCTAAATATTTATTGATAGATGGATGAATAAATAAATGTGATATATATATATACACATTGAAATACTCAGTATTAATAAGAAGGAAATACTGCCATATGCGACAATCCCCATGAACCTGGAGGACACTATCCTAAGTAAATAAGCCATCACAGAAGGACAAATACTACGTGATTCCACTTATATGAGGTATTTAAAGTAGTCAAACTCATACAAGCTGAAAGTAAAATGGTAGTTGCCAAGGGTTGAGCAGAGGGGAAAATGGGAACCTGCTGTTCAATTGGCATAAAGTTTCAGTTATGCAAAATGAAAAAGTTCTGAAGATCTGCTATACAACATTTTGATTATAATGAACAATATCGTATTATACATTTCAAAATTTATTGAGATGGTAGATCTCATGTTTTGTGTTTTTTGTCACAATTTAAAAAATCATGAACAAGCACCTATTGAGATAGACAGTAATAGTTCAGGGTTAAATGCTGTAACAAAAATCTCAGTGTACTTAGATAAGATATTGAGGGGACATGAAACCAAGATGTTGGGGAGAGGGAGCCAGGAAAACTTTATAGAAAAAGTGATGCTCAGGTTCGGAAGGTATTAGCTAGGTGAATAGAATTTGAATTTAGATGAAATGAATAAGTCTATTTCAGACATATATTCTAACTTGTGTAAATGTATAGGAAAGGCATATAGATAAAGTTGGAGGAATCAAATCAATTCAATATGGCTGTAGACATAAAATGTAGGATGAAGAGTGAACAGGGACATGATCAAAGGAAGATGTAGCTGTCAAGGCATTTATAAGCTTGGTAAGTCATGTAAGGAATCTGAACTTTAAGAGCAATGAAAAAGATTAACATTGACCACTGAAGTGATGTGATCAGAGTAAGGAAGGTGAGTTAGTACTGTGGTCGTAATACAGGTGACTGTAATGGTGGTCTGAACTAATTTAAAATTGAATAGCCATAATAGACGGGCTTAGTAATTGAATAGATGGTAGGGAGAATACAGCTATCAAGGATGATTCCTATGTACGTACGTAAGGCAACTAAATGGGTGGTTTTTAATTCACTGATACAGAGAACATATAGTAAAGATGATGAACAGAAAGTGGAAATATGAGAAATAGGGGAGAATCATCAGATTTTGGCAACTTGTGTATAATGGATAATTTTTACTTAAAATTCTGAAATAAAGACTGTTTTCTAATTTAGGGTAGAATGTTTTTATTTCCATTTTTAAAACCGAAACAATACAGGTTTTAATATGATTCTGTTATATTAGGATTTTATTAATACACCGACTCTCTGTTGCATTTATTTGATAGATATATCTGTCATACTGGTATTAGTATATTTTACTAAGAAATCAAGTTGGAGGTAGATCTTAACAAATAAAAGGCTCAGTGAAAACAATAAAGTTTCTTGTTGTAAAATTATGCAAATAGCAAGAATGTAAGTATTCCAATAACAATGTAGGGTTGTACACCCTATGGTTGCTATTACTTCTTCCTGGTAAAAGTATTTTTTTGAGACATAGTCTCCTTCTGTGGCTCAGACTAGAGTACAGTGACATGATCATAGCTCACTATAGCCTCAATCTCCCCAGCTCAAGCAATCCTCCCACCTCAGTCTCCTGAGCAGCTGGGACTATAGGCACGTGCCACAAAGCCCAGCTTTTTTTCTTTCCAAATTTATTTTAGGTTCAGGGGATACATGTGCAGGTTTATTACATGGGTTAATTCCCTGTCATGGGGAATTAGTGTAAAGATTATTTTGTCACCCAAGTAATAAGCATAGCAAATAATAGATAGTGTTTTTTTTTTTTTAATCCTCACCCTCCTTCTACCCTCAAACCTCAAGTAGACCTTGGTATCTATTGTTATCCTCTTTGTGTCCCTTTGTACTCAATGTTTAGCTCCCAATTATAAGTGAGATGATGCGGTATTTGGTTTTTTGTTTCCGTGCTAATGTGCTTAGGATAGTGGCCTCCACCTTCATCCACATTGCTGCAAAGGACATGATATGGTTCTTTTCATGGCTGCATAGTATTCCATGGTGTATATGTCCCACATTTTCTTTATCCAGTCTACCATTCATGAGCATTTAGGTTGATTCCTTGTCTTCAATGTTGTGAATATTGCTACAATAAATATATGTGTACACCTGTATTTATGGTAGAATAATTTATATTCCTTTGGGTATATACCAAGTAATGGGATTGCTGGGTCAAATGGTAATTCTGTTTTAAGTATTTGGAGATATCTCCAAACTGCTTTTCACAGTGGCTGAACTAATTTACATTCCCATGAGCAGTTTATGAGCATTCCCAAGTTTTTCAGTATCTGTTATTTTGTTGACATTTTAGTAATAGCCATTCTGACTGGTGTGAGATGGTATCTCTTTGTGGTTTTGATTTTCATTTCTCCAATTACTAGGGATGTTGAACATTTTTTCACATGCTTGTTGGTCATGTTTATGACTTCTGTTAAGAAATGTCTGCGAGGTCAGGATTTCGAGACCACCCTGGCCAACATGGTGAAACACTGTTTCTACTAAAAATACAAAAAATTAGCTGGGCATAGTGGCAGCGCCTGTAACCCCAGCTACTCTGGAGGCTGAGGCAGGAGAATCGCTTGAACCTGGGAGGCAGAGGTTGCAGTGAGCCAAGATCGCACCACTGCACTCCAGCCCGAGCGACAGAGTGAGACTCCATCGCAAAAAAAAACAAAAAACAAAAAACAAAAACAAAAGTCTGTTCATGTCGTTTGCCCATTTTTAAAATGAGGTTGTTTGCTTTTGGCAAGTTCATTTGTTTATGTCCTTTATAGATTCTAGATACCTGACATTTGTTGGAGTCATTCAGAAGACGGTTGTTTAATTTTGATGTAATCATGTGACTTTGAGAGATCTTCTTAGTGCTGGTTTCTATGATTATTTCACTGTGGTCTGAACGTGTGGTTGGTATTATTTGATTCTTTGTTGAATTTGTTGTTTTATGGCCAATTGTGTGGTCAGTTTTAGAGTATGTGCCCTGTGTAGATGAGAAGTATGTATATCATGCTGTTGTTGGTAGAGTGTTCTGGAGATGTCTGTTAGGTTCATTTGGTCAAGTGTTGAATTTAGGTCATGAATATCTTTGTTAATTTTCTGCCTCAATGATCCATCTAATACTGTCAGTGGGTTATCGAAGTCTCCCACTATTATTGTGTGTTTATCAGTCTCTTTAAGAACTTTAAGAACTTGTTTTACAAATCTGTGGACCCCAGTGTTGGGTGCAAATATATTTAGAAAGGTTAACTCTTCTCGTTGAATTGAATGCTTTATGATTATGTAATGCCCTTCTTTGTCTTTTTGGATCATTGTTGGTTTAAAGTTTGTTTTGTCTGAATTTAAAGCAGGATCCCCTGCATTTTTTTTCCTATTTCCTTGGGATATTTTTCTCTTTTCCCTTATGTTGAGCCTACGGATGTCATTGCATGTGAGATGGGTCTCTCAAAGACAACGTACGGTTTGTTCCTGCTTCTTTATCCAACTTGCTACTCTGTAACTTTAAGTGATGTGTTTAGTTCACTTATGTTCAAGGTAATGTAAATGGACTGTGTTGATAGTTTATCAACTAAGCATTGATAGTATGTAAATGGACTAAACACACTAAATATACTAAATATTGATATGTGCAAATATTATCCTGTCTTCATGTTGTTATCTGGTTGTTTTGCAGATTTGATTGTTTAGTTACTTTACAGTGTCAATGGTCTATGGACTTAAGTGTGTTTTTGTAGTGGCCAGTAATGGTATTTTGTTTCCATGTTTAGCACTCCCTTAAGGACCTCTTGTAAGGCAGGTATGGTGGTAATACATTTCCTAACATTTGCTTATCTGAAAAAATTATTCTTCTTTGCCTATGAAGCTTAGTTTAGCTGGACATTAAATTTTTGGTTGGAATTTAATTTTTGATGCTCAATGTAGGCCCACAATCTCTCCTTGTTTGTAGGATTTCTGCTAACTGGTTTGCTGTTAGCCCGATAAGGTTACCTTTGTAGGTGATCTGTCCCTTCTCTCTAGCTGCCTTTAATATTTTTACTTTTGTGTTGACCTTGGATAATCTGATGACTAGGTGTCTTGGGGATGGTTATCCCATAACCTGTGTCTCACAGGGGTTCTCTGCATTTCCTGAAATTGAAGGTTGACCTCTCTAGTAATGTTGGGGAAATTTTCATGGACAATATCCTCAAATATTTTTTTCAAGTTTCTTGCTCTCTTTCCCTCTCTTACAGGGATGCCAATGAGTTGCAGGTTTGGTCTCTTTACATAATTTCATATTTCTCAGAGGTTTTGCTCATTGATTCTTATTTTTTCTTTATTTTTGTCTGACTGAGTTGATTTGAAGAACTTGTCTTTGAGCTCCGAGATTCTTTCCTCAGCTTGGTCTATTCTGTTGTTCATACTTCCAGTTATATTATGGCATTCATGTAGTGAATTTTTAGCTCTAGAAGTTTAGTTTGGTTCTTTCCTAAAATGGCTATTTCATCTTTCAGCTCTTATATTGATGTATTAAATTCCTTATGTTTCTTTGATTGGGTTTCTACTTTCTCCTGAATTTTGATGATCTTTGTTCCTATCCAGGTTCTGAATTCTATGTCTCTTATTTTAGCCATTTCCACGTGGTTGAGGACTATTTCTGGGGTGCTAGTGCAGTCCTTTGGAAGTAAGAAAACACTCTAACTTTTTGAGTTGCCAGAGTTCTTACACTGGTTCTTTCCCATCTGTGTGGGCTGATGTTCCTTTAATCACTGAAGGCATCAGGGTGTACTGGTTGTGGTGGTGGCTCTGTGTGTTCCAAGTGCACAATAGTGGAGGCAGAGCAGCAGTTCAACATAACCACTCATGCATGCCAGTGGCAATGAGACAGTCCACATATACGCACTGACAGAGCAGTGGAGGGGACTGTGGGTGAGTATGTTCCAGCAAAGCAATAGGAAGAGGCTTCTGGTGGGTGGGGGCATGTTTGTTGGGGCCTGTCAGCTGAAGCTCTCTGACAGTTATGAAAGGTCTGCTAGTGAAGGAGCTGTGGTGGCAGCTGCCAGGAAGCACTCCTGTTGAGCGTTCAAGGCTACAATGCTAGTGGGCATGGCTAGGCATGATCCCTGAGAGAGGCTGGCAGACAGGGAGGTTCTCAGGTCATACTGGCCCCATCTCATGGGCAAGACTACCCTGTTTTATTCCAAGTCCAATAGTCAACAAAGGCCAATCTCACCTAGAAAAGCATGGCAAGCCTTGGGGAACGGGCATTCCTGGCCATGTTCATCTGCAGCCATTCCTTCGCCAAACCATCTGGGCTCCAGACAGTCTGGAGTCCTGTCCCTGATACTTCTTAAAGCAGCCCTCCCTTTCAGGTCAAATATCCATGGGGGTTATCAGATCTCCTGCAGCTAGGATTCTACAAGTCTGTGGTCAGATTGGACCACTTCTCGCCTGTTTAACTCATCCCTTTCCCAAGAGCTGTTTGGGACCAGGAACTAGTCCTGGTGTTTGTCAGCCTCATGCAGGGTTCTCAGCTTTCTCCTCTTTCAGTCCAGAGTCTGCATTCTCCTTCTGTCCACTCTCAATGCCCTTCTTCTGAAGATCTGCTTGGAGTATGCTGATCTTCTCGATGGTCTGGTATTTTGGTGAGAGATGCTCTTCCTGGTTGCATCTAGTCAGCCATCCTGGCTTTTGTCTCCATTTTTTTTTGTTTTTATTTTTAGTAGAGACAAAGTCTTGCTATGATTCCTAGGATGTTCTAGAACTACTGAGCTCAAATAATCCTCCTGCCTCAAGCTCCCAAAGTGCTGGGATTACTGGCATGAGCCACCACACCAAGCCAAGACTTCTTAATAATGTGTTTTACAGTTATTCAAAATTATTTTCTAGTAGAAAGATGTAGATTACAAGTTTTTATATTTATTTGGTCTTAAAACATTTGTAATACTTTCTGTCTGGTTCACTATGGGTTAAATATGAATAAAATTAGGTATTTATAAAATATTTTCTAATGAAAAATGAAAATATAGAAAGTTAGGGAGTGGAATCTAATATTTAAACACTGAGGAGTTGTGAATATGTTCTTATAATGAACTCAAGTTCTCTAATGTGGCTCTTTGGGAAATAATGCCAGTGTTATGTCAAAATATTAAGCCTGTGACATAATCAGTGTCCTTTCATTTGGAGTGATATTTCAATATATACTTACTTGTAATATTCCAACCTATTTTCCAGTCAGCCTTTTTAGTTAAAAGCATTATCAACTTACTCAACTTTCCTTAAAAATAAAGACAAAAAATCAAAATCTTACATTGCCATATTATCATGTTACATCTCCCCTTCCCTTCACATTCAAAACTTTTAAAAAGTGTGATCTAGAATTGGTTTTCATTTTCTTACAAACTGTTTCTTTGTTCCTCATTATCGAGTTTTCATTCAAAATGAAAGTGCCTTTCTTGCAGGTAATTGGTTATCTCCTAACTGTCAAGACCAAATGCTTCTTCTCAATCCTCGCTGGGTATTTGACACTGTTCATCAACACCATTGTAAACACTATCTCATTTTTAAAAATCTTTTTTCTTGCTCTTCACAATAACGTTATGACGTACAGGCTGATGACTACCTCATCTATAATTCTTGCCCTGCTTCCTCTTTCAAGCTCTAGACTCATTTTCAACATATGGCATGGCATGTGTCTCCTTGTGAATATCCCACTAGGATCCCAAACCTGACATTTCTAATACCAAACTTATCTGAGTCACCAAACCTGTTCTTCCTCTTGTGGTCCTACTCCTTGTTATTTCAGTTCTCACCTTTAAAATAACATGCTTTAAAAATAACATATTAGAAATTTCAAAATCATTGTAACTCTTTCCTTTCATTCCACATTCATTTAATTGAAAGACCTTCTAATCATGCTTCCACCATGTTTTCATATCTTTTCTTTCCTATCCATGGTCATATGTCACACCTTTATTAATTCTTGCCCAGAGTGTTACCAAAGCTCCCAATTATTTCTCCTTTCTCTATTATTTTTGCTAGGGTTATTCTCAACAGGTAAGGTTATGCCACTACTCAGCTCAGAAATATTTTGTGTATATTCACTATGCAGGAAATTGCATCAATACGTCTTAGCAAAGCATTCAAGGTGTCCTGGCCATACAAACTTTCCAGTCTCATTTTCTGTTATATCCTTCTATGTTACTTGTGTTCTGGCCACAATGATCTCTTTATCTATAGCTTCATGCTCAATATTCGATGCCCCAGAAATCATATTCAACCTTCAAGGTTCAGCTAGAATATTACCATTTTCATGAAGCTTTCTGTTAAAAATCAATTTTTTCTTCTCTATATTCCTATAACACTTTTACCTCGGGTATAATACTTACTCTTCTTTATACTTTGATAGTTGGTAGAATATCTAAAACAGAAAAGAAACAAATCAGTGTACTATAAAAAGTGTGTATACACTGAATGACATTTGATTATCTAGAATTGAAAGGCTTTAACAATATGTACTATTTGCATAGGGAAGCATTTAATGTTACACTAACAGACAAAGAAGTAGAACATGAAATTGAGAAAGATGGCAAATGTTTTAGGAATCTTGCCTATGAATCAGCTTCTAACCAAGTTCATGGTGACAAAGTAATCATTACTGTTCAAATGTTTTGTTTCTGGCCGGGCATGGTGACTCACGCCTGTAACAGCACTTTGGGAGGCCAAGTCAGGCTGCTCACTTGAGGTCAAGAGTTGGAGAACAGCCTGGCCAACATGGTGAAACCCCATCGCTAATAACAATACAAAAATTAGCCGGTTGTGATGGCATGTGCTTGTAATCCCAGCTACTTGGGAGGCTGAGGCACAAGAATCGCTGGAACCTGGGAGGTGGAGGTTGCAGTGAGCCAAGACCTCACCACAGCACTCCAGCCTAGGTGACAGAGAGACACTATGTATCAAAAAAAAAGTTTTGTTTATAAGACATTAACATGCAATATGTTTAATATGGTTTCTAAATGAATTTCATCAAGATCATTTTTCAAATTCTTTTCTACCACTGAAACAGAGTAAATAATACACGTAGATAATAAATATGAATACAGTGAAGTTGCTACTAAATAGTAGGAAAAATACATAATGATATGAACATATTTACAACCAACGTCATCTTAACACTGTAAACCTATATCGTTGCACAAAACATTAAGTATCAATAGGTACACAGCAACACATCATTCATAGACAGCTACTCGCCTTTACTATGAACCAAATGGCATTATTTCGCGTTCATGTCTAGAAGAGAGAAGACGTTGGTCCCTTGCTTATATTTTCAATCACACTGACTTAGAAATAATAGCCTCTTAGGAACATAACTTTGGGACATTTTAATATTGATAATGTGTTTCAACATACTCTAAAGTGCCATATTATGAAAATCACTCTTAAGAACTCTTAAAACTGTTTGTGTATTTATGCCCTGGACACTATAGGTCAGCCTTTAAAATCAATAATAGCCCTTACTATTATTTGTTAGGAATCTGTGGCAGTGTATCCAGAATAATTACTGTAGAGTTGAAAAATTATTTTTATATTATTGAACATTGTCCTTTGTTGACAGAATAAGCCTTCTTCTTTCTCTACACCTATTTCTTTTATGCCTATCTGAGGATCATAGGCCAGTGGAAAATTTCCTAGTTACAATAGTGAAACTTTGGACTATTTGGATAATCCTTCTTCAAATAGTTACATCAAAAGAAAACAATCTCTAATTGCAAAATGTCAAAATACTCTTTTAAATCAAGTATATAGTGATTTATTTTATCTAAGATTTTTCTATTCCTTTTTATGTTGGCTAAAAGACACACACAGTTAGGAGACAATTATCTGTAGGTTTCTCACATTGCTGCACGTCTTGCAAAGAGAGTCATTGTCTGACTTTCTTCCAGACTATCTTTTTGAGAATGCTTATATCATGAACTGCTTTAGAAGATAGGGATAATTTCTCCCCCAGAGCATGGAACAGTTTTGTTTACTGTCCAGTATAATAAAGACAATGTCTCCCTCCATGACAATAATCGCATAGGCTTACTGACTCTGAAAAAAGTTTAAGTTCCCTGAGCTCAGGGTTCCTTTTCTGTAATGTAACCTATTGCATGTATAGGCATCATGTGAACCTCTTACATCACTCTGTGAGAACTAAGGCTTACAGAACTGGGACAAATGCTGATGCCGACACTCTGGCTACTGTTATTGACATTAGTAAAAAACTTACTTTTTCTGACTGATGTCTCATGTCTTCTGCCAGTATCCATGAAACTATGGCAGCCTAACTCATTAGCTTGTAAGAAGGGTAAAATCTTAGACCCTTCACAGTTCTCAACACATTCATAGGTGCATTATTGCAGGAAAAGAAAGAATAGAGAAACAACCTCCAGGCAGCATTGTCCTAGAAACATATTTCAAATTGGAAAAATGTATATACTAATTTAATTTTCTTTATGCAAATTAATTGTCATGAATTGTAGGCTACTTAGGTAGCTAACACTATTCAAATATTATTTTTCTATTAATTTAATAATTTAAATTGCTATGTAATTTATTTTCATTTGCCCTCTGCATTTGTAGTCTATTTTAAGATTAAACAAGGGGTAAACCTAACCAAACACATTTATGTGGCTATACTAATGGGTACATAGAGAGTTGTCTCACACTTTGCTGCTTAAGGATAAAAACGAGTTACTGCATACTGAACAGTGCTGCTCTCTGAGAATATGGAAAAGGCTATTTAGTTCACAGTAGGAGAGGTTACAGTTGTGTGTGACAAATATTGTGAAAAATACAAACACTAAGAATTTTTTTGCACGTGGCAGTTTTTTGTAGGGATGGCTTACAAAGAAAAAGATACTGTGTTAGATCAAACTACAGCTATTTTCTGTACTCTTGGGTTTAATGGAGGAAGCACTTTTCCTCATCCTGTCATGCTTACTTTGCAGGAGACTGCAGATGCATACAACCTGATTTTCCACTCCTCTGTAAGAATGCTACGGTGTGGGAAAACAATTTGGAGAAAATTGCCATAGAGATTTAAAAAAAAATTCGAATCATACATTTTGTTTCTATGAAAATGATGTGAGTAAACATATCTTACACTCATGATATTTGAGCTACTGCTATAACCAACATGGTTTCAAAAATATTCCATTATTACTGCGGTGTAGTCTTAACTACAAAATGCTGCATGTTGCTATGCAAAAGAACATGATGTGGCAATTTCTGCTCAGAAACCATTTCACAAATATCTAGTTTGGGGGTTTAAAAAACTAGAGAAAAATTAAAAAGTCATAATCTGGAAAGTAAGTTAATTCAATGTTTCTCAGATTACTCAATGAATAACTATTGGATAAAAATTCTTCTATTAAACAGTGTTAAACACACAGCTTATCATTTAAATTTTAATGATATTTATGAATGCCTTAAACGTCTCTAAAGGACAAATAAATATAGCTTAAGGAGACGACTTAGAGTAGTTTAGTCATCAACCATTAATGAAGTAATGGTTGAAGGCTCCTGGAAGGGACAAAAAAGACAGAATATGGATTTGAAAATATATTTCTTTCCAAAATAACTGAATATTTGATAAAAATAAAAAGGCATATTTCATATGAAAGATTATGTATCCCCCACTTAGAAAGAAAATGTGAACCTATTGTGGCATTTTTATCCACAGCCAAACAGAGCAAATTTCATTACTCTCTGATTTTGTCAATATTCATTCTTTATATTAAATCACTCACTTAGAATGCAGGAGAAAGTTCCATGGAAAGAAATTCTACAATTTCTCCTTTCAGCAAAGCCTTCATACTTAGAAAATTATCCATGATCTTATACCCACATAGAGAGCCAAAAATAAGGATGTGAGAGTTTTTCTAATGCAGCTCTGTCACAAATTCCAAATGAAATATTTTAAAGGCCTTTGGTCTGATAACGGGACAATTACGTTCCTTCTCCCTACAAAGCTAGCAGTGAAAGAAGTTCATTTTATTTAAAGAAAATCAGTTGGAGCTCCAAAGTGGAGAAAAGTTAGAAAACTAAATTTAATTTTTATTTTACTCTACACATGTATTGGTGAAAAATAAGATAAATAAAAGTATTATTAAACAGTTTAGTAATCAGTCATTATATTTTTTCAAAGTTCTGCATCTTAATTGTCCTTAAATTATATAGTAAATAGCCCCAATCTTCCACTAAAATAAAGCAACGTTAATAATGACATAAATCATAGCATAAAAAATCACATGTGTTCCACAAAGAGCAAAAACAATTCTCTTTTATCAACTAAAGAGGGTCTCTCTGATCAAAATTTATGCTAAGACAGACATGAAATCTTCAAAAGTATACAACATCAAAAGTATTGTGTGACTTGTTATTTAATATTTAATATTCTGTTGCAAATAACGTCACACAGGTATGACACAACTTAAAATATGCATTGAATTGCATTTGTATTCAGGTTATATGCAAATGGAGATACAACACTTTAAGCTGCTTGGTAGGCGTCGTTCACATCTGTTCTTTGCCTAGCTGCCTCGCTTTCTCCTCTCTAACAGAATAATAGGACTGAAAGTTACAAACAACCTTAGAGGTCAGCTATCCAACTTGTCTTGAAAAGCCAGAGTCACTCCAAGTATCCCTGGAAGGTAATTGCCTAACCTTTGCTTGAATGAGTTCACAAATACGTTGAAAAGGGATAACGGCCATAGAAGCAAGGAATTTTTTTATATCAATTATTTCACAAGACTCATGTGGTGAAAACCATATAAATGATGTTCCTTGTGATTATGACTTTGCACATTTATAAATCCTAGAATGTGCATAATCTTCTAGATTAGTTTTATAAAAATTCAAAAAGCCCATCAAAGATGGACTTACCATACAACTCTCTGCTAAAATGAAGATAAATGCTGATAGGAAATTCAAAAATTGTCATGTTATGCTTAAGCATCATTTTACTTTACACTCAGCCTTATAGTTACTGTGCTATCTAATTAACTGCAATATGAATCTCATAGGTAACTAGAATGTATAGTAATTTGAGTATCATTAAGGAAGCTACATTTATATTTATTTAAAAACAAAACAGTATTTTCATAGTTCAGTAAAAATTATCAGTATTTGGCCGGGCACGGTGGCTCATGCCTGTAATCCCAGCACTTTGGGAAGCCGAGGCGGGTGGATCCTGAGGTCAGCAGTTCAAGACCAGCCTGACCAATATGGTGAAACCCCGTCTCTACTAAAAATACAAAAATTAGCCTGGTGCAGTGGCAGGTGCCTGTAATCCCAGCTACTCGGGAGGCTGAGGCAGGAGAATCGCCTGAACCTGGGCGGCAGAGGTTGCAGTGAGCTGAGATTGTGCCACTGCAGTGAGCTGAGATTGTGCCACTGCACTGCAGCCTGGGTGACAGAGTGAGACTCTGTCTCAAAAAAAAAAAAAAAAAATCAGTATTTGTCATCTGTCATGACATATAGGTGATCTATGAAGGAGATAAATAAATAGAATAGAAGCTAAGTAGAGTAAGTAGAGAAACAAAAATAGATGGAAGGAAAAGAGAAAGTTTGTAAGGAGTAAATGAAACCATGCCATTGGAGGCTAGTCACATTATAACAATTACCAATATTTACAGTGACCATATGTCCCTATTTTCCTGGGACAGTCCTCAGTTATGCCTCTTATTCTGAAGGCATCCCTCTTTCACTCTCAAAAGTGTTTGGTTTAGATGATAAATATTATGGTTAACCTACCTAGATAAATTTCAAAAATTGATTCAATTGTTTTACAGGCTACCTATTTATTTGTTTATTTTTACTTTTTAAATTTTTATTGAGGTGTGATTGACAAATTATTTATAGTTAACATGTACAACATGATGTTTTGTTTACCGTGTTTAATGATTCCCATAATCAAGCTAACTAACATATCTAGCCCTTAACATAATTACTATTTGTGTGTGTGTGTGTGTGTGTGTGCGCGCGTGTGGTGAAAACACTTAAGATCTATTCCTTAAGCAAATTTCAAGTTTAAGTTATAAAATGAATAAGTTCCAGAAATCCAATGTGCAGCATAGTAACTATAGTTAATAACATATATTGTATACTTAAAATTGGCTAAAGCAGTAAATCTAGGGGCTATGTATTTAAAATATCCATTATTCTATATGAGTATGCTTAATAACAGTATTTTTTCTTTTTAAAATCAACGTTATTGAAGTATAGTCTATATTCAACAAGAAAAACATACACTTTAAGTGCACAATTCACTGGTTTTAAAAACTGTATACGCCCATGTAACTACCATTCCAAATCAATTATAGGATATTTGTATTACCCCAAAAAATTCCTTATGCTGCTTTGCAGTAAATTCCCATCCCCACCTCCACTACCAATCCTAGAAAAATAGTGCTTTCTGTGACTATAGGTTAGATTTGTCACATCTAGAGTTTCATACTGGTGGAATCATACTTTATATTCTATTTTGTGTCTGGCTTCTTTTGTTCATAATAATGTTTTAGAGATCCATGTATGTGGTCGTGCATATTAATAGTTTTTTCTTTGTCCTCGCTGGTATTCCATTGTATGGGCAGATGTGTTACAGTTTGTTTAACCATTCATGCATTGAAAAACAACTGGTCTATTTCCAAGTTTTGTCTATTACAAATAGAATTAGTTTGAACATTTATGTGTAAGTATTTGTGTAGAAAAACATTTTTCTTTCTTTTCGGTGAAAATCTAGGAGTGAAATAGACAGATAATATAGTAAGTGTATTACTAACTTCATATGAAACTACTGTATGAAATTGTTTTCCAAAGTAGTTGTACCATTTTACAATACTGCCAGCTATATATGAGAGTCTACTTGTTCAACATCCTTGCCTACAATTTAACTTTAGCTCATCTAGTGGCTATGTAGTGCTGGCTTTACTTTGCATTTCTCTGATAGCTAATGAAGTTGAACATCTTTTCATATATATTCTTTTGCGAAGTATCTGTTCAAGCCTTTTTAAAATTTGATTAACAGTATCTGAATTAATGATTAGAGAAGTTATTGAAAACTGTGTTTTAGAGTCCTTAATAGTCACACTATGACTTTAATACATAACATGCAAATTACAATGAAATGAGTCCAAACTATAAGTTTATGGAAATATAAAAGCATGTGAGAATTTCCAAATCTACACAGTAAATGAAGTGATCTCAGCAGTGATTCTATTTTATCAACAGTCTCAGAGATTGTGTCCAGTGCAGTGTCTTGTACCCAGTGTTCAATAAATGTCTGTGTATTTATTAATTAATGATCTTATGTCATTTTAGATTACTACATCATGGCAGTTAATTTGTGGGAAATGTATTAATTAAAAAATATTTTAAAAAATAATTGATTTTTTTCCTCTTGAAACCACACATTTTTGCTACTGAAAAATCTGCTTATCAAGTTAGTGAAGTATCCAATTTCTTTACTTCTTTCACCTTCCTCTTATTTAAGCTGACTCACTTCTTACAACAGAGAAGGCATATAAGTAAGAGAAAGTAAAATAATAAACATTGCATTTCTTGTTTCTTAGTAGCTGGGGTAAAAAAGATGTCTTTAGATGTGTTTGAAGAAAGGTAAAGTTATTAGAAGAATGAGCTTTTTACATTAAATATGTTTCATTATCCTTGTTCCCCTTACTTTCAATCAGCAACTATGCCTATATTATGTTTTTAAGAATACATTCTGCAAATAAGCCTAACCGTTATCTGCATCTGTTTCAGCTGAAACACTATGCAGATGCAATTATAATAAAAGATGGTGAGATCTAAAACTAGGCTCAGATACTTAGAAAAATCTCAAGCATTTTGGATAGTTTTCAAAAGATTTGAAACATTTATTTTGAGAACTCACTATACTTGATTCCAAAGGGAAAGATACTTATTTCTATTTGGTATCTACAAATCAAACAGAATCTTTTTATTTTGTAGTTTTGCTATTTTTAATACTATACTGCAAGTTACTGATTTTAATTTGTTCAGCTTGTACTTGAAATTCATAAACTCTGTTCTGTCAGACAACATAGAAAAAAATCTTAGTTTAGTGCAAAATAAACTTAGGATTAAAAGTGAGTTTGTATATGCAGAATATCATGTTCTTTCTTACATTTCTAAATAAAACATTTAAAACATGTATATTCCAAATAATGGAAAATTATATTAATTCTAGTCATACACCCAAATTATAAAGAATTAAGTGTAACATTTCTTGCCATCTTTATAGAGTCAGAAATAATATATCAGCACTACCATAATTCAAGAAAACACTGTTTTGCATTTGATTCAATTAATAAAAGATGAATATATAAAAATTGACAACATAATTTAACCTTTTGAATCTAGCCCATTTTATATGTGTTTATTTGAGGACCCTCAATATACAACGGCATCCTTCATTATACAACAGCATCCTTCATTACAAAGTTCTATCTACTATAACAAGAAAGTGTCCTGTTGAATAAAACAGCTCTTTATCCCTTTGCTTAAGAAGATATAAAGTTAAAAATACAATGTATTTACTACTAAAGCAGGGTCATCCAATACACTCAGTATTTTACAATGGAAAAAGCTGTAGATGATCATACAGGGAGCTGATGCTCTCAAAATGAGAACCAAGAATTGCTGAGATTTCCAATTATACCTTCAGCTTCTCAAGGCTCCTTCTCTAGAACACCATTAAGGAAGTATATTCTTCTTTCTTTAATGCTACTTGCTCTTACCTCTTCTTCTCCTGATTAGGCATAGGGATGATTGAGCCTTCGTTGAATTAGCTAACCCACTATAGAGAGCAATAAGAAGCCCCAAAATTCTGGATACACAGGTGTGCAGAACAGGCTATATTTGGGTTTGTTACCTAACCAGACTGATATTCCATGAATAATTTCTACTATAGAACAGGCAAGTCCAATTATATGAAGGAAAAATTTGCCCATAACTTCTATTTGATACAGATGAATATAGCTTGTGACCTAAAACAAATGAATGTTTATCTCCCATGTAATGAGATATATTTTAACATTTATTCAGTGTCCAGCATATATAAGGCCTCTTGTTGGGTCTAAGGGTAAGAAAAGATGAAAATGTGAAGATGTGATCTTTGTTCTGAAGGTGTTTTTAAGCCAGTAAAATTCATATAAGTTGCAAAACAAAGTTTGAAAGATAAAACAAGTGAGATAAACTCAAAATGGTATAGAAACACAATAAAGTATCATAGCAATTGGACCTGGGGAGCTCCAGAAAGATAGAGTTATGTTATGAAGAATAGGTCAAATTTTGACAGAGTGGGAAATTCATAGTCTAGTTTGCCCGGACTATGAGGTAAATGCTAAAGAAGCAGAAGCAGAATCTGGAATAGTAATTTTTAATTTTGGTGATAATCATTTTTTTCTTTTATGCATCATGCTTCCTGTGTCATATCTAAAAACACATTTATTTAACTAACCCAAGGCTAAGGTAGTAAATACATTCCCTTTTGTTTCCTATTATTTGTTTTATAGGTTAAGGTTTTCCATTTTGGCCTGTGATCCATTTTGTATATACTATGAGAAATATATAGGACAAGGTTTAACTACTTATTTCTCTTATGGCAGTCCAATTGTTTCTGCTCCATTTTTGGATAAGACCATTCTTTCTTCATTTTCTCCACTGAACTGCCTTTGACAAAAACCAATTGATCATATATGTATAGGGCTATTTCTGGGCTCCCTTTTTTATTTCATTGATCTATTAGTTTATCTTTTTACCAGTACCACACTGGCTTAATTATTGAAGCTTCATACTATCTTAAAATCAAGTAGTCTAAACTCTCTATTTTTTTTTCAAAATTACTTTAGTCACCCTTCTTGAAACTCAGTAATAATTCTATGGTCAAATATCTTGCGATGCGATGTGTAGAAGTCATGATTTGTCAAGCTCTACAGCTGCTGACATACTTAACTAGTCCACAAATAGCGTTTTTAGGGTCCTTCAGGATTTCTGGTGGACTCAGAAGAAAATAACAACAGGATTCAGGTCACTGAGAATATATGTGTGACAGATTTTTAGAAAGTTCTCAATGAGGTTTATTATAGAAGAGAAAAACTAATTCAACCAGAAGAAAATATTTTCTTAAAATCAATTATTTGGGCTTTTTAAAAAGTTTCAGGAAAATCATTTATGTGAACTGTATTTTTTTTTAACTTTTATTTTAGATTCAGGGATATGTATGTAGATTTGTTATATGGATAAATTTCATGTCACAGGGGTTTGATTTACAAATAATTTTGTCATCTAGGAAATAGGCATAGTACCTAATAGGTAGTCATTCAAGGATACAATGGGGGTAGAGGCATTGGGTAAATGATCCCACTCTATAAGGGAGAAATTGGCCAAAACAAAGGGGCTACAGGCCCCATGCATGTCCAAAACCAAGCAGGGTAGTCATTAAATTGTGAAGCTCCAAAATAATGCCCTTTGACTCTATGTTCCCAAGCTAGGCCACACTGATGCAAGGGGTGGGCTCCCAAGACCTTGTGCAGCTCCACCCTCATGCAAAGGCACAGGGGCAGAGCTGCACAAGGCCTTGGGAGCCGACCCCTTGCATTAGTGTGGCCTGGATGTGAAACGTAGTCAAACATGGAACACAGGGTAGAAGACACTGCACTGGGCATGAGCTCTGAGATTGTACTCTGCAGGGTACAGCCCCCCAAGCTGTACCTTGCTTTCATGGGTCAGCATTTGAGTGCCTGCAGCTTTTCCAGGTGCACACTGCAAGGTGTCAATGGAGCTACCATTCTGGGGTCTGGAGGATTGTGGCCTTCTTCTCACAGCTCCACTAAGCAATTACCAGGTGGGGACTCTGTGTGGAGACTCAAAACCGACATTTACCCTCGGTACTGTCCTGTTAGAGGTTCTCCATGAGGGTCCCTCCCCTGCAACAGACTTCTGCCTGGATATCCAGGCATTCCCATACATCCTCTGAACTGTAGGCTAAGGCTTCCATGGCTCATCTGTTGCCATCTGTGCACCCTCAGGCTTAATACCACATTGAAGCTGCCAAGGCTTATGGCTTGTGCCCTCTGGAGCAGCAGCCTGAGACATATCTGGGGCCCTCTCAGCCAGGGCTGGAGCTTGAGGGGCTAGGACAAAGGAAGAAGTGTCCCAAAGTTGCACAAGGTATCAGGGCCCTGAGCCCAGCCCTCAAAACCATTCTTCCCTCCTAGGCCTCCAGGGCTGTGATGGGAGGGGCTGCTGCGAAGGTCTCCAAAATGCCTTTCAGGCATTTTCTCCATCATCTTGGCTATTAACATTGGGCTCCTCTTTACTTATGCAAATTTCTGCAGCCGGCTTGAATTCCTCCCCAGAAAAAGGTTTTTTAAAAATCTTTTCTGCCATATGGTCAGGCTGCAAATTTTCTAAACTTTTATGTTCTGCTTTCCTTTTAAATATAAGTTGTGGTTTCAGGTCATATCTTTGCTCAAACATATGACCATACATTGTTAGAAGCAGCCAGGCCAAATCTTTTCTTTGTTTTGAGACGGAGTCTCACTCTATCACCAGGCTGGAGTGCAGTGGTGAGATCTCAGCTCACTGCAGCCTCCGCCTCCTGGGTTCAAACAATTCTCCTGTCTCAGCCTCCCGAGTAGCTGGGATTCCAGGCACGTGCCACCATGCTTAGCTAATTTTTGTATTTTCAGTAGAGATGAGGTTTCACCATGTAGGCCAGGCTGGTCTCGAACTCCTGACCTCAGGTGATCCACTCACCTCAGCCTCCCAAAGTGCTGGAATTACAGTCATGAGCCACTGCAACCGGCTGCCAGGCCAAATCTTGAATGTTTTGCTGCTTAGAAATTTCTTCCACTGGATACCCTAAATCATTACTCTCAGACTCAAACTTCCACAGATCTCTAGGGCAGGGGCACAATGCCTCCAACCTCTTTGCTAACACATAACAAGAGTGATCTTTACTCCAGTGTCCAATAAGTTCCTCATCTCCATCTGAGATCTCCTCAGCCTGGACTTCATTGTCTATATCACTGTCAGCAACCATACGACAAGTCTTTATAATGTTCTAAACATTCCTTCATCTTTCTTTCTTCTTCTGGGCCATCCAAGGTGTTCCAAACTCTGTCCATTACCCAGTTTCAAAGCTGCATCTTTATTACAGTATCCCACTCCTTGTACCAATTTTCCTTATTAGTCTCTTCTCCTATTGCTATAAACAGCTACCTTAGACTGGGTAATTTATAAAGAAAAGCGGTTTAATTGGCTCATGGTTCCACAGGCTCTACAGGAAGCATGGCTGTGGAGGCCTCAGAAAAGTTACAATCATGGCAGAAGGTGAAGGCGAAGCAGGCACAACCTACATGGTTGGAGCAGGAGGAAGAGAATGAAATGGGAGCTGCTACACACTTTTAAACAACCAGATCTCATGAGAACTAACTATCACAAGAACTGCAAGGGGGAAATCTGCCCCCCTAATCCCAGCACCTCCCACCAGGTTCCTTCTCCATTAGGAATTACTATTTGGCATGAAATTTGGGTGAGGACACAAATCCAAACCATATCAGGCACATGCAGCCAGGTGGCTAAGCACAAGATGTCAGCATCCAAGCAGGGTGAGAGCAGCGTGGTGGTCAGCCTGGTGTGGGATATTAAGGACTATGCAGGATGAGGAGGATCTCCACATGGAGATATGAGTTGGGGCACACTCTCAGACTTGAGCATGACAATGAGGTTATATGTGCAGAGGAGTGGCTGAAGTTAAAGTCAGGAGATTAATTACATACAGGGGGACTGATCAAATAAGTAAATATACGAAGCATAATGTAAGCTAGGTTTTCCACTATCAGAATAAAAAGGAAATTCAAGTATGATAAAGGATAAAACTAGAATAAACCCAGTAGTATAGATTGGAATTTGAAATACAGTATGAGCTCATGGTTTTCAAAATATAGAGCTATGAAAAGAAATACTACTATAAACTTTGGTTTGTTTTTGTGTATGCACTAATACATACATACCCTAGCTTATTTACTGAGAGGACAGGCCTTGGAGCAGCAACATCATAATCTCAAAGAGCAAATATAGTGCTCAGATCCTGACTTATAAATACTACTTTGTAATAAAAGGAACCAGAACTGGTTAAAGACATGACTGATTCCAGGGCTGAAGAAGAAAAATATATGATTTTGATAGTTGTATTGTAGTTATATCAAGAATGTCCTTGTTCATAAGTAATAGACATTAAACTGTATTAGAAAGGTGATGAAAATCATGTTGTTAACCTACTTTCAAATGCTTTGGAATAAACTATTCCCTGAACCATACTTATAACTTTTTCTATAAATTTGTGAATTGCTTCAAATTTTTAAAAAGTGTATATCATTAAAAAATAATTTTTGCAAATTAAGATGAAGAGATACACACCCCAATCAATAGTTTATCTACCGCAATTCTTAAGTAAACATAGCTCTCATCATTTATCCACCGCAATTCTTAAGTAAAAGTAGCTCTCATCATTTAGCTTTCACTTATAAGTGAGAACATGTGGTATTTGGTTTCCTGTTCTTGAAAATTTTTGGAAGAAAATTGTACATGATGGAATTTTATTTTATTACTAAGAAATCGAACAACTGGCACTTTTTTTCTATTTTATTATTTGCTTCCTTTCATTAGTTTTGTTTTGTATACCACATATGCAGTTAAATAAACACTCTTAAAAGTCTACATTTCAAATCTATTCTTTTTTATTTCTGAAAAAGTTACTTACTGAAGAGGTATTTTTATACACAAAGTTGATTAATAAGTTGAAATAATTGTTCTGGCATTAAAAATCATTACAATATATTTCTTTCGATGATTTCTGTGTACTTTCAAGTACCGAACAAAATTCATGAAAGCGCGCGCACACGCACACCCACACACGCACACGCAGACGGTAGTAAAAGCAGTAAAAATGGTAAGCCCAGGCTTGAAACCACTGTTAGTTATGAGAGTAAGTATATTCTATTACTGTAATTTAACAGGTCTGTATTAACTAACTCCATAATATTCAAATTCTTCAATTTCTTTTCTAGAAAACCCAGAACATAATGGAAATTTTTCTTATGTAGTGACATGGTGAAAATTACAACATTAGCTGGTTTATGAACATAAGGAGGTTTATGAAATAAAAAAGTCTAGTAAATTTCTGTAGCTAGCAAACACTCTAAACTGTGAAAGAAAATGGAATCTCAGGGCCTCTAATTCACTATGCAAAAGGAAGTGAAGCTTAGGAACTGAGTCACACAGTATTTGTTTCCTTTTGTTTTCAACTGTATAGCTGTAATTTCAAAACCTTCATCCATAAGCCAGGTTCTCACAATGATGGAAGGCCAGATATCTCCTCAGATGGCCTCGCTCACAAATTTCTCACAGTGGAATTCCTTGTGAGCCCCTAAGTCTATCAGGATGTATATCTCCCCTATAAAGTAGCCCTAAAACCAAGCTCCATTGAATCTCCCCCCGACAATATTAATAACCAGCTTATCCTCACAGGTACAGGACAAGGACAAGACCAGAAATCATCCCTCTGCATATTCTGAGACTAATGCACAGTTAGTTGGCTTTTTCTCTAATTTCTCCTTTCATATTTATTTTATGTAAAATTGAGATTTACCAATTGGGACAGGGATGCATAACTGACTTTTTCTTCTCTACTCTCTTTTTATATGTAAAATGTAGATTTACTGAGCACTAATTGGAGGCACAAAAGAACGTAACCATTTGCAAAGGACACGATGTTGTTTTCTATGGCTGCATAGTATTTTATGGTGCATATGTACCACATTTTCTTTAGATTGAGACTATTACCCTTAGCAAATTCAAGGAGGAACGGAAAAACAAATGCCACATGTTCTCACTTGTAAGTGGGAGCTAAATGATGAGAACATAAGAACACGTAGAGGGGAACAACACACACTGGGGTCTTTTGGAAGGTGGAGTGTGGGAGGAGGGAGAGGATCATGAAAAATAACTAATGGGTACTAGGCTTAATACCTGGGTGATGAAATAATCTGTAACACAAACCCCCGTAACACGAGTTTACCTGTGTAACAAACCTGCACATATACCCCTGAAGTTAAAATACAAGTTTTCCCTTACTGCCTACACTCTCTTCCTTTCTTTCCTCCTGTTTGCTCTTGCCTCTTTAAATATTGAAATTCCCAAAACCCTCTTTGGAAAAAAGCACAGGACACAGACACTCCTGTCCCTTCTGTTTTGCTGGGCACATCCTGAAACTTCGGGTACATAAAACTCTACCAATTGAGGCACCAGTCTCAGTCACTTTTTGGTTAATAAAATCTAACTGACATTTTCTTCTTGTTACTGAAATAACACCTGTAAGCCTCCACATTTGGAAATGAAGAACTGTCATTCTAATCTGTGTTCAGAACATGCAAGCTAGAGCTTTTTTAAAAGATTAACTTATACTATTATATCATGGAGCATATACAGAGAATATTGTAAACCTTTAATTAAAATATATATATTTTTAGATAGAGTCTCTCTCTGTCCCCCAGGCTGGAGTGCAGTGATACCATCTCGGCTCACTGCAACCTCTGCCTCCTGGGTTCAAGCAATTCTCCTGCCTCAGCCTACTGAGTAGCTGGGATTACAGGCGTGCACCGCCACGCTCGGCTAATTTTTGCATTTTTGGTACAGGCGGGCTTTCACCATGCTTGCCAGGCATGTCTCGAACTCCAGACCTCATGATCCATCCACCTCTGCCTCCCAAAGTGCTGGGATTACAGGCGTGAGCCATCACTCCTGGCCTAATAAAAATATCTTAACAGAAAGTATTAAATATGTTTAAAAACAGAAGCAGAAAATTCATGAATCAGAGTGTAGAGGATAGGGTCTGTAAATAGTTATGACAAAGCAAGTAGAAAGAATCAACATAATTTTTTAAAAAATTGAAAACATAAAATTACCATTACAAACAAAAGTTTTGCCAATAACTAGAAGATTAAAATTCGCTTTTCTAAGCATCATTGTGCCCTGTGTGAGCTAAATAGGAAATCTTTCCATTTTCAAGAAAGTACTTAGATTCAGAGTTCTGTTGAAACTATTCTTGGCTACGTTGAAACGAATTGACTATCTCATTAGGACCATGCAAACCTAATAACAACAATTAAAGTTGAAAGAATGTATCAACTTGTCTTAAGATTCACTTATTTGTTAACTATTCAATGGCCCAGAATGTACATTCTTTTGGGAAACAAATTTTGTGCTTTTCTTTAATGTGTCAAGCCCTGTGTTTGGAAGTTTACATGCAATATCAGATTCACTTTTCACAATAACCTTGTGAGAGAAGAATTACTACTTCTATTTCGTATCTGTGTAATTGAGGGGTTAGATAACTCACGATCTTATAGTAAAGGAGAATCCTAGGACTGGCTGGCACTGAATGCTATATACTCTTTTCATTAGACTCCTTGTACAGATGCAATGCAGTTAGGATGAAAGTTATTTTGTACTAATCATAAACTTCTAATGGAACAGTAGTTTGGTAAAACCATTTCTAGCAATTACAAAATGACAATTTTATCAAGAAGTGCATAATAAGGATTGAAGTGGCAATGTTAAATGAAAACAACAACAAAAAAATCTCTGTTCTTCAAATAATACTTGCAAATGACCATTCCCAAGCTCCTAGCACAGTGCATCTGGTGCACAGTGGGCACTCAATACTTATTTTCTTTTCTTCTTTTTCAAATTAGGATATAAATTTAAATAGCATTCTGTGCTTTGTAAATCATAACACTTCTCTGAGAATGCAAAAATGTATTCTAATTCACTGATTTCAATAGATCTTAATTTTGTACACTTACTCTATTCTTTGGGCTCTTTTAAGATTCTGAGCTCTGTTATAAAAAATTGTCAAATGACTTGAGACTAGGTGAATGATAAGGTGTAAGAGAGGGTGTAAGAAGACAAAAGGAAAAGGAAACTGTAATACCATGATTTCAGGTTTCAGAGATAGAGAATATAATTATAAATTATTCAAACAAAGAAAAAATACATAATTATAAAGTATTCAAGAAATAAAATTTTACAAAACAACATCAAAAAGATATGTATATGTTAAATGTTAAAAACTTTTTAATGATAATCTGTAGTTTAATAATACATGCAGAGGGAGGACAAAATGGCCAGCTAGACACAGCCAGGAAGCACCACTCTCATCAAGAGAGGCCAAGAATTATAGTAAACCTACATAATTTAGATACATCTTTAGAGAGAAAATGTTAAGTGGATAGTAATGTGACACAGATGATAAGGCTGAGGATGGAGGAGGCTAGGAACCATTTGCAGGGTACCAGAACACTGCGGCTAGCTCCTGGCCCTGAACACCTCCTGGGAAATGTGTGAGCGAAGGAACTGTGGTATCCTGGTTACAAAGGGGCCCACATCTGCCATTAATGTTTGAGCTTACAGGGGGATCTGCTTGGAGAGTAGCAGAGGCAGGGCTTCAGTCAGCACAGAGCCAGAGGTCTTTGTCCACTGTGCAGGCTGCAGCAGAGTGTGGCTATAGCACCTGTCCCCCAGGTTTTCCCATCTCTGTCCAAGAAGCTCTAGCCCCAGCTGACCCTGAACCAGGAGAAAGCAGGGCCAACTTTGCTGCAGGACTGGGGCATGTCTGCACTGCATATTCTCCTGCTTGCCAGCCTTTCCCAGTGCCCCTGCCTGGCCACCCCACAGGAATGTGTGGATAGTGTGGCTTCCACTGCCCAGCCTGGGTGCTGTGCTTCACCCAATTATCTTCCCTGTAGCCTGGGAACACTTTGGATTCCCCAGCACACCTGGTACCTGACTCTGTTGGTACAGAGGATAGAGCTGAGAGCCAGTCCTGGCACCCTAGGGCTGCAGTGAGCAGCTCAGGAGAGCTGAGCCAAGATCTGTGGCTGGCACTTGAATGGGAGAGGAGCCCACACTCACAGAGCACTGAGAGGGTGAGATGCATGTGTTCATGGACTGGAGCAGGAGTGGGGCATGCCTCCCTCTGCAGGGTCACCCCAGAAAGGATGTGGCCAATCTCCCTGTCATGACCTCTGCCCAGGGAGCCTTGCAGCCCAGAACCAAACAAAAAAAAATGTGGTGGCAGTGTCAGCAACAGTATGGGGCTCCCTCAAGGCCCAGGAGCAGGCTTGATGAGGGAGTCACCTTTTCCCACCGCACCACAGAGCATGTCTTGCAAATGCAATGAATATCAAGAAGCTATGCAGCTAAGTTTATATAGTGCTCATTACTCTTAAGTGCCATCTGCTGGACCACAGCCCAAACTACAAAACCAAAATATTATGCTAATCACTGCCCTGTGAAACCTAGAACAAGAATTCCGCCAAAAATCAAGACCCTGTACAGATTCTTGGCCCTCCAAAAAATCCAAAAATGAAGCCAACTTACTATAGACAATTTACACCACACTTGAAAGAACACTAACCCTTCCACATGAGAATCAGTGCAAGAACTCTCACAATTTAAATAGCCAAAGTGTTCCCTTACCTGCAAACAAGTCCACTAGTTCCACAGCAATGGTTCATAACCAGTTCGAAATAACTGAAATGATAGACATATAATTCAGAATCTTGATTGCAAAAAAGCTCAACAAGATTCAGGAAGAAGTTGAAACCCAATCCAAGAAATTCAATAAAATCATACAAGAGCTGAAAGATGAAATAGCCATTTTAAGAAAGAACCAAACTAAACTGCTAGAGCTGAAATTCACTACAAGGATTTTATAACACAATCAGAAGTATTAACAGCAGAATAAATGAGGCTGAGGAAAGAATCTGAGAGCTTGAAGCATGGTTCTTTGAATTAATTAAATTTTTAAAAAAGAATTGTAAAAGATGAACCAAACTTTCGAGAAATATGGGATTATTTAAAGAGACCAAATCTGACTCATTGATATTACTAAGAAAGAAGGAGAGAGAATAAGTAAATTGGAAATTATACTTGAGGATATAGTTCACAAAATTGTTTCTAATTTCACTAGAGAGATTGACATGCAAATTCAAGAAACACAGAGAACCCAAGCTAGATACTAACCATAACACTATCCTCAAGGCACATAGTCATCAGATTCACCAAGGTCAACACACACACAAAAATCTTACAGTCAGCTAGAAATAAGGGTCAAGTCACATACAGAGGGAACCCCATAAGGCAAGCAGCAGACCTTCCAGAAAAAAATCTTAAAAACTAGGAGACATTGTGGGACTATTTTCAGCATCCTTAAAAAAGATAAATTGCAACCAAGAATTTCATATCCCACAAAAATGAGCTTCATAAGTGAAGGAGAAATGTAATCCTTCTCAGACAAGCAAACACTGAGGGAATTATTTCAACTAGACAAGCCTTACAAGAGGTCCTGAGGAAATGCTATATATGGAATTGAGATAACAACACCCACTACCACAAAAACACACTTAAGGGCATAGCCCATAGTCACTCTAAAGCAACTACACAGTCAAGTCTACACAACAAGCAACTAAGAGCACAATGACAGAATCAAAATTACACATCAATGCTAACCATGAATGTAAATGGACTAAACACCCCACTTAAAAGACACAAAGTGGCAAACTGGATAAAAAGACAAGGCTCAACCATCTTGCCTTCAAGAGACCCATCTCACATGTTACAGCACACACAGCCTCAATGTAAAGGGATGGAAAAAAGATCTACTATACAAATGGAAAATAAGAGCAAGAGTAATTATTTTTATATCAGATAAAATACTTCAAGCCAATAAAATTAAGAACAGAAAAGGGCATTACAAAATGATAAAGGGTGAAATCGAACAGAAGACTTAAGTATCCTAAATATATACACATCCAAGTGAAAAGACTTAGGCAACCACACAATAATATTGGGAGACTTCAACACCCCACTAACAGGATTTGAGAGACCATTGAGGTAGAAAATTCACAAAGAAACTTGGGGCTTAAACTTGATCCCTGACCAACTGGACAAAATAGACATCACCAGAACACTCCATCTGACAACCACAGAAAATATCTTCTTCTTATCTGCACATGGACCATATTGTAAAAGAAACTACATGCATAGTCATAAAGCAAGTCTCTATAAATTCAAAAACTTAAAATCATATCAAGCCCACCTGCAGAGCACAGTACAATAAAAATAAAAATTCATATAAAGAAGTTATCTCAAAACCACACAAATACATGGAAACTAAACAACTTGCTCCAGAATAACTCCTGGGTAAACATGAAATTTAAGGTAAAAATAAAAAAAATTCTTTGAAATTAATGAAAATAGGAACAAAATGTGCCAAAATCTCTGGGATGCAGCTAAAGCAGTGTTCAGAAGAAACTTTATAATGCTAAACACCAGCATCAAGAAGTTATAAATATCTCAAATTTACAGTCTAACATTTCACATAGAGGAACCAGAAAAAAAAACCCAAAGCTAGAATATGAAAGGAATAATTAAAATTAGAGAAGTTAATGAAATTGAGATGCAAAAATTCATAAAAAGATCAACCAAATGAAGAGTAGTTTCTTTAAAAATAATAAACAAAATTGATAGACTGCTAGTTAGACTAACAAAAAAATCAAAACAGAATATCCAAATAAGTACAATCAGAAAAGACAAAGATAACATTACACATGATCCCACAGAAACACAATGACTCCTCAAAGACAATAATAAACAACATTGTATACACAAATTAGAAAGTCTAGAGGAAATGAAATTCCTGAAAATACACAATCTCCAAATATTGAAGCAGGAAGAGATTGAAACCTTGAATAGACCAATATTGATCTCTGAAATTAAACCAGTAATAAAAAATCTAGCAACCAATAAAACCCCTGGACCAGATGTATTCACAGCAGAATACTACCAGACATACAAAGAACTGGTATGAATTCTACTGACACTATTCCAAAAAACAAACAAACAAACAAACAAAATCACAGAGGAGATGCTACTTCCTACCTTATTTTGTATGAAGCTAGCATCAGACAGATACCAAAATCTTGCAGAGACACAACAACAAAAAAATTATAGGCCAGTATCGATTACAAACACAGATATTAAAGTCCTCCACAAAATACTAGAAAACCAAATCTAGCAGTATATTAAAAAGTTAATTCACCACAATCAAGTAAGCTTCATTCCTGGGATGCAAAGCTGGTTCAACATACACAAATCAATAAATGTGATTTGCTATATAAATAGAATTAAAAAGAAAAACTATATGATTATCTAAATGGGTTCTGAAAAAGCTTTTGATAAAATCCAACATCCCTTCGTGAAGAAAACCCTCAACCAACTAGGCATCAAAGCAACATACCAGAAAAGAAGTACCATCTATGACAAATCTACAGCCAACATCATACTGAATGGGCAAAAGCTCAAACCATTTCCCTTGAGAACTGGAACAAGACAAGGATACTCCTTCTCATCACTCCTACCCAGCATAGTTCAGGAAGTCCTAGCCAGAGCAATCAGGCAAGAGAAAGTAATAAAAAGCATCAAAATATGAAAGAAAGAAGTAAAACTACCTGTCCTCACTGATAATATGATTCTATATGTAGTCCTAAAGATTCTGCCAGAAGGCTCCTAGAAATGATAAGTGACTTTAGTGAAGTTTCAGGATACAAAATCGTGTATAAAAATTAATAGCATTTCTATACATCACCAACATCCAAGCTGAGAACCAAAGCAAGAACAGAATCCCATTCACAGTAGCCCCCTATCATACACACACACACACACATAAACACCTAGGGTTACAGCTAACCAGGGAGGAGAAAGATATCTACAGGGAGAATTACAAAACCCTGGTTAAAGACATCAGAGATGATACTAATGAATGGAAAATAATTTGATGCACATGAATTGGAAGAATCAATATTACAGAAGTGGTCATACTGCCGCCCAAAGCAATTTTCAGATTCTATGCTATTCATATGAAACTCTCAAAGTCATTCTTCAGAGAATTAGAAAACATATTCTAAATTCACATGGAACAAAAAAAACCCCAGTAGCCAAACAATCCTAAGCAAAAATAACAAAGCCAGAGACATCACACTACTAACTCCAAATTGTATTATGGGGTTACAGTAACCAAAACAGCAAGATACTGGGACAAAAAGAGACACATAGACCAATGGAACAGAATAGAACACTCAGAAGTAAAGCTTCACACTCACAATCACCTGATTTTCAACAAGACCAATAGAAACAGGCAATGGGAGTGGACTCCCTATTCAATAAGTAATCTTGGATAACTGCCAGCCACATGCAGAACAATACAATCAGAATCCTACTTTTTACCATATAGAAAAATTAACTCAGGATGAAGTAAATATTTAAATGTAAAACCTCAAACTATCAAAATCCTAGAAGAAAACCTAGGAAACACCCTTCCTGACATCAACTTTGGCAAATGATTTTTGGCTAAGTCCCCAAAATCAACTTCGACAAAAACAAAAATAGACAAGTGGGACCTAATTTAATGAAAGAGCTTCTTCATAGCAAAAGAAATAATCAACTGAGTAAACAGGCAACCTAAAGAATGAGAGAAATTATTCACAATCTATGCATATGACAAAGGTTTAATATCCAGAGTTTATAAGAAACTTAAACAAATCAACAAGCAAAAAAAAAAAAAATAATAAGCTCATTTAAAAAATGGGCATAGTATATTAACACTTCTCAAAAGAAGACATAGAAGTGGTGAAAAGCAATTGCAACAAAAGCAAAAATTAACAAGTAGGATCTCATTAAACTAAAGAGCTTCTGCAGAGCAAAGAAAACTATCAACAGAGTGAACAGACAATCTAGAGAACGGAAGAAAATTTTTTCAAGCTATGCATCTGACAAGGGTCTAATATCCAGCATCTTTAAGGAACTTAAGCAAATTTACAAGAAAAAACAACCCCAATAAAAAGTGAACAAAGGATATTAACAGAAACTTTTCAAAAGAAGATATACATGCAGCCAACAATCATATGAAAAAAAGAGCTCAACATTACTGATCATTAGAGAAATGCAAATCAAAACCACAGTGAGACATCACCTCACACCAGTCAGAATGGCCATTACTAAAATGTCAAAAAATAACAGATGCTGGTAACGTTGTGGAGAAAAAGGAACACTTATATACTGTTGGCAGGAATATAAATTAGTTCAACCATTGTGGAAGACAGTGTGGTGGTTCCTCAATGACCTGAAAGCAGAAACACCATTTGACCCAGCAATCCCATTCCTGGGTATGTACCCAAAGGAATATAAATCATTCTATTATAAAGACACACGCAAGCATATGTTCATTGCAACATCATTTGTAATAGCAAATATATGGAATTAAGCTGAATGTCCATTAATGGTAGACAGGATAAAGAAAATGTGGTAGATATACACCATGGGATACTATGCAGCTATATATATATATATATATATATATATATATATATATATATATATATATATATATATATATATATATACTCATCAGAAGAAATGCAAATCAAAACCACAATGAGATACCATCTCACACCAGTCAGTATGGCTATTATTAAAAGGTCAAAAAGCAACAGATGCCGGTGAGACTGCAGAGGAAAGAAACACTTAGATACTGGTGGGGAGAATGTAAACTAGTTCATCCCTTGTGTAAATCAGTTTGGAGTTTCTCAAAGAACTTAAAATGGAGCTCTTATTTATCTTAGCAATTTAATTGCTGAGTATATAACCAAAGGAAAAAAATCATTCTACAAAAAGGACATATGCACAAGTATGTTTATTACCATGCTATTCACAATAGCAAAGACAAGGAATCAACTTAGGTACTAATTAGTGGTGGATTGAATAAAGAAAATATGACACCTATACATGGTGAAACACTATGCAGCCACAAAAAAGAACAAAATCATGTTCTTTGCAACAATATGAATGCAGCCGGAGGCCATTATTCTAAGCTATTTAATGCAATAATGGAAAACCAAATGCCCCATGTTCTCACTTACAAGTTGGAGCTAATCATTGAGCACACATGGACATAAACATGGGAATAATAGACACTTTGGACTTCTAGAGAGGGGAGGGAGGGATGTGTGGGTGCAGACCTATCTATTGGGTATGTTTTTCACTACCTGGATGACAGGATACATACCCCAAAACTTAGCATCATGCAATATACCTATGTAACAAACCAGCACACCTATCCCTTGTATATAAAATAGAAGATGAAGCACTGCTATACACAAACAATAACCAAGCTGAGAATCAGATCAATAACTCACTCCCTTTAACAACAGCTCAAAAAAAAAAAATACTCAGGAAAGTACTTAACCAAGCAGGTGAAACTTCTCTATAGGAAAACTACAAAACATTGCTGTAAGAAATTATATATGACACTAATAAATGGAAACGCCTCTCATGCTCATGGATAGGTAGAATCAATATCATGAAAATGATCACACTGCCCAAAGCAGTCTACAGATTCAATGTAATTCTCATCAAAACATCATCATTATCATTCACAGAATTAGAAAAAAATCCTAAAATTCATATGGAACCAAAAAAGACCCCACATATCACAAGTGAGACTAAGCAAAAAGAACAAATCTGGAGGCATCACATTATCCAACTTGGAATTATACTACAAGGATATAGTTACCCAAATAGCATGGTACTGATATAAAAATAGGCATGTAGACCAATGGAACAGAATAGAGAACTCAGAAATAAAGCCAAATACTTACAGCCAACTAACCTTCGCTAAAGCATACAAAAACAAAAAATGAGTAAAGGACACCTTATTCAATAAATGGTGCTGGGAAAACTAGCAAGCCACATGTAGAAGGATGAAACCAGATCCTCATCTCTCACTTTATACAAAGATCAACTCAAGATGGATCAAAGACTTAAATCTAAGACTTGAAACCATAAAAATTCTAGAAGATAACATCAAAAAAACTCTTCTAGACATTGGCTTAGGCAAGGAATTCATGAGTAAGACCCCAAAAGCAAATACAACAAAAACAAAAATAAATAGATGGTACCTAATTAAATTAAAAAGCTTCTGCACAGCAAAATAAAGAATCAGCAAACAGACAACCTACAGAGTAGGAGAAAATATTAGCTAACTATCCATTCAACAAAGACTAATATCTAGAATCTACAAGGAACACAAACAAATCACAAAACACAATCAGAAATGACAAAGAGGACACTATACCAGTCTCCACGGAAATACAAAAGAAAAAACCCTCAGAGACTATTACAAACACCTCTACACACAGAAACTAAAAAACCTAGAAGAAATGGATCAATTCCTGGAAACATATGACCCCCCAAGATTGAACCAGAAAGAAATTGAAACACTGAACAGACAAATAATGAATTTTGAAATTCAATAAGTAATAAAAAATCCTACAAACCAGGGAAAGTCCTGGACCAGACAGATTCACAACCTAACTCTACCAAACGTATAAAGACCTGGGACAATTCCAACTGAAAATGTTACAAAAAAATGAGGAGGAGAGATTCTTCCCTAATTTATTCTATGAGGCCAGGATCTTCCTGATACAAAAACTTGACAGAGACACAAGGAAAATAATTTCAGGCCAATATCCTTGATGAACATAGATTCCAAAAATCCTCAACAAAATACTAGCAAACCAAATTCAGCAGCACATCTAAAAGTAAATCGACCATGATCAATAGGCACTATCCCTGGAATTCAAGGTTGGTTCAACATACACAAATCAATAAATGTCATTCCTCACATAAACAGAACTAAAAACAAAAGCCATGTGATCAACTCAATGCATGCAGAAAAGGCTTTCTATAACATTCAACATCTTTTTTTCATATTAAAAACACTCAACAAACTAGGCACTGAAAGAATATATCTGAAAATAATAAGAGCCATCTATACAACATCCACAGTTAACACCATACTGAATGGGCAAAAGTTCAATTCCCCTTGAGAACTAGAAAAAGACAAGGATGCGCACTCTCAACCATTCCTATTCAACATAGTACTAGAAGTCTTAGCCAGAGCAATCAGACAAGAGAAATAAATTAAAGGCATCCAATTAGGAAGAGAGGAAGTCAAACTATCTCTATTTGCATCCAATATGATTTTATATCCAGAAAACGCCAGAGTCTCTGCAAGTATCCTAGATCTGGTAGACAATTTCAGTAAGGTTTTAAGATACAAAATCATCGTACAAAAATCACTAACATTTTTACACACCAACAACATCCAGGCTGAGTGCCAAATCAAGAACACCATCTCATTCACAATGACCATATTAAAAAAGATCTAGGAATACAACTAAATAGGGATCTGAAGGATCTCTACAATGAGAATTATAAAACACTGAAAGAAAGAAATCAGAGATGATACAAACAAATGAAAAAACATTCCATGCTCATGAATAGGAAGGATATATATTGTTAAAAGTCATCATGGCCAGGCACAGTGGCTCATGCCTGTAATCCCAGCACTTTGGGAGGCTGAGGTGGGTGGATCATGATGTCAGGAGATTGAGACCATCCTGGCTAACACGGTGAAACCCTGTCTCTACTAAAAATACAAAAAATTAGCCAGGTGTGGTGGCAGGCGCCTGTAGTCCCAGCTACTTGGGAGGCTGAGGCAGGAAAATGGCGTGAACCTGGGAGGTAGAGCTTGCAGTGAGCCGAGATCACGCCACTACATTCCAGCCTGGGCAACAGAGCGAGACTCTGTCTCAAAAAAAAAAAAACAAACAAAGTGGTCATGCTGCCCAAAGCAATTTACAGATCTAATATTATTCCTATCAAACTACTAACATTATATTTCACAGAACTAGAAAAACTATTCTAAAATTCTATGGAACCAAAAAGTAGCCCAAAGTGTTAAAGCAATCCTAAGAAAAAAATAAAAATGCTGGAGACAGTACATTACCCAACTTCACACCATACTATAAGACTACGGTAGCAAAAATAACAAGGTAATGGTACAAAAACAGAAACATACATCAACAGAACAGGTAAGAGAACTGAGAAATAAAGCTGCATACCTACATGCATCTGATCTTTGACAAAACTGACAAAAATAAGCAATGGGAAAAGGGTTTCCTATTCAATAAATGATGCTGGGACAACTGACCAGCAATATGCAGAAAATTAAAACTGGACCCCTTCCTTAGACCATATACAAAAAATCAACTCAAGATGGATTAAAGACTTAAATGTAAAACCTCAAACTATAAAAGCCTAGAAGAAAACCTAAGAAACACAACTCTGGACATAGGCCCTGGCAAAGATTTCATGACAAATATGCCAAAAGCAATTGCAACAAAAACAAAAATTGACAAATGGGATCTAATTAAACAAAAGAGCTTCTGCACAGCAAAATAAACTATGAACAGAGTAAACAGACAGCCTACAGAATGGGAGAAAATACTTGCAAACTATTCATCTGACAAAGGTTTAATATCCAGAATCTATAAGGAACCTAAATGAACAAGCAAAAGACAAATAGGCCCATTAAAAAGTGGACAAAAGACATAAATAGACACTTTTCAAAAGAAGACATAGATGCAGCCAGCAAGCACTTGAAAAATGCTGAACATAACTAATCATTAGAGAAATGTAAATCAAAACCACAAGGAGATGCCATCTCACATCAGTCAGAATGGCTACTATTGAAACATTAAGAAACAACAGATGCTGCCAAGATTTTGGAGAAAATGGAATGCTTACACACTGTTTTTTTTATTATTATACTTTAAGTTTTAGGGTACATGTGTACAACATGCAGGTTTGTTACATATGTATACATGTGCCATGTTGGTGTGCTGCACCCATTAGCTCATCATTTACATTAGGTATATCTCCTAATGCTATCCCTCCCCCCTCCCCCAACCCCACCACAGGCCGCAGTTTGTGATGTTCCCCTTCCTGTGTCCATGTATTCTCATTCTTCAATTCCCATCTATGAGTGAGAACATGGGGTGTTTGGTTTTTTGTCCTTGCAATAGTTTGCTGAGAATGATGGTTTCCATCTTCATCCATGTCCCTACAAAGGACATGAACTCATCATTTTTATGTCTGCATAGTATTCCATAGTGTATATGTGCCATATTTTCTTAATCCAGTCTATCATTGTTGGACATTTGGGTTGGTTCCAAGTCTTTGCTATTGTGAATAGTGCCGCAATAAACATACGTGTGCATGTGTCTTTATAGCAGCATGATTTATAATCCTTTGGGTATATACCCAGTAATGGGATGGCTGGGTCAAACGGTACTTCTAGTTCAAGATCCCTGAGGAATCACCACACTGACTTCCACAATGGTTGAACTAGTTTACAGTCCCACCAACAGTGTAAAAGTGTTCCTATTTCTCTACATCCTCTCCAGCACCTGTTGTTTCCTGACTTTTTAATGATCGCCATTCTAACTGGTGTGAGATGGTATCTCACTGTGGTTTTGATTTGCATTTCTCTGATGGCCAGTGAAGATGAGCATTTTTTCATGTGTCTTTTGGCTGCATAAATGTCTTCTTTTGAGAAGTGTCTGTTCATATCCTTCGCCCACTTTTTGATGGGGTTGTTTGTTTTTTTCTTGTAAATTTGTTTGAGTTCATTGTAGATTCTGGATATTAGCCCTTTGTCAGATGTGTAGATTGCAAAAATTTTCTCCCATTCTGTAGGTTGCCTGTTCACTCTGATGGTAGTTTCTTTTGCTGTGCAGAAGCACTTGAGTTTAATTAGATCCCATTTGTCAGTTTTGGCTTTTGTTGCCATTGCTTTTGGTGTTTTAGACATGAAGTCCTTGCCCATGCCTATGTCCTGAATGGTATTGCCTAGGTTTTCTTCTAGGGTTTTTATGGTTTTAGGTCTAACATTTAAGTCTTTAATCCATCTTGAATTAATTTTCGTATAAGGTGTAAGGAAGGGATCCAGTTTCAGCTTTCTACATATGGCAGCAACATTTGCTGTTCACCAATATCCGCTGTTCTGCAGCCTCCGTTGCTGATGCCAGGCAAACAGGGTCTGGAGTGGACCTCCAGCAAACTCCAACAGACCTGCAGCTGAGGGTCCTGACTGTTAGAAGGAAAACTAACAAACAGAAGGGACATCCTCACCAAAACCCTATCTGCACGTCACCATCATCAAAGACCAAAGGTAGATAAAACCACAAAGATGGGGAAAAAAGCAGAGCAGAAAAACTGGAAACTCTAAAGATCAGAGCACCTCTCCTCCTCCAAAGGAACGCAGCTCCTCACCAGCAACGGAACAAAGCTGCACAGAGAATGACTTTGACGAGTTGAGAGAAGAAGGCTTCAGACGATCAAACTACTCTGAGCTAAAGGAGGAAGTTCGAACCCACGGCAAAGAAGTTTAAATCTTGAAAAAAAGTTAGCTGAATGGCTAACTAGAATAACCAATGCAGAGAAGTCCTTAAAGGACCTGATGGAGCTGAAAACCACGGCACGAGAACTACGTGACAAATGCACAAGCCTCAGTAGCCAATTCGATCAACTGGAAGAAAGGGTATCAGTGATGGAAGATCAAATGAATGAAATGAAGTGAGAAGAGAAGTTTAGAGAAAAAAGAATAAAAAGAAACAAACAAAGCCTCCAAGAAATATGGGACTATGTGAAAAGACCAAATCTACGTCTGATTGGTGTACCTGAAAGTGACGGGGAGAATGGAACCAAGTTGGAAAACACTCTGCGGGATATTATCCAGGAGAACTTCCCCAATCTAGCAAGGTAGGCCAACATTCAAATTCAGGAAATACAGAGAACGCCACAAAGATACACCTTGAGAAGAGCAACTCCAAGACACATAATTGTCAGATTCATCAAAGTTGAAATGAAGGAAAAAATGTTAAGGGCAGCCAGAGAGAAAGGTCGGGTTACCCACAAAGGGAAGCCCATCAGACTAACAGCGGATCTCTCGGCAGAAACTCTACAAGCCAGAAGAGAGTGGGGGCCAATATTCAACATCCTTAAAGAAAAGAATTTTCAACCCAGAATTTCATATCCAGCCAAACTAAATTTCATAAGTGAAGGAGAAATAAAATCCTTTACAGACAAGTAAATGCTGAGAGATTTTGCCACCACCAGGTCTGCCCTAAAAGAGCTCCTGAAGGAAGCACTAAACATGGAAAGGAACAACCGGTACCAGCCACTGCAAAAACATGCCAAATTGTAAAGACCATCGAGGCTAGGAAGAAACTACATCAACTAACGAGCAAAATAACCAGCTAACATCATAATGACAGGATCAAATTCACACATAACAATATTAACCTTAAATGTAAATGGGCTAAATGCTCCAATTAAAAGACACAGACTGGCAAATTGGATAAAGAGTCAAGACCCATCAGTGTGCTGTATTCAGGAAACCCATCTCAGGTGCAGAGACACACATAGGCTCAAAATAAAGGGATGGAGGAAGATCTACCAAGCAAATGGAAAACAAAAAAAGGCAGGGGTTGCAATCCTAGTCTCTGATAAAACAGACTTTAAACCAACAAAGATCAAAAGAGACAAAGAAGGCCATTACATAATGGTAAAGGGATCAATTCAACAACAAGAGCTAACTATCCTAAATATATATGCACCCAATACAGGAGCACCCAGATTCATAAAGCAAGTCCTTAGAGACAAAGAGACTTAGACTCCCAAACAATAACAATGGGAGACTTTAACACCCCACTGTCAACATTAGACACATCAATGATACAGAAAGTTAACAAGGATACCCAGGAATTGAACTCAGCTCTGCACCAAGCAGACCTAATAGACATCTACAAAACTCCCCACCGCAAATCAACAGAATATACATTCTTTTCAGCACCACATCACACCTATTCCAAAATTGACCACATAGTTGGAACTAAAACATTCCTCAGCAAATGTAAAAGAACAAACATTATAACAAACTATCTCTCAGACCACAGTGCAATCAAACTAGAACTCAGGATTAAGAAACTCACTCAAAACCGCTTAACTACATGGAAACTGAACAACCTGCTCCTGAATAACTACTGGGTACATAACGAAATGAGGGCAGAAATAAAGATGTTCTTTGAAACCACCGAGAACAAAGACACAACATACCAGAATCTCTGGGACACATTCAAAGCAGTGTGTAGAGGGAAATTTATAGCACTAAATGCCCACAAAAGAAAGTAGGAAAGATCTAAAATTGACACCCTAACATCACAATTAAAAGAACTAGAGAAGCAAGAGCAAACACATTCAAAAGCTAGCAGAAGGCAAGAAATAACTAAGATCAGAGCAGAACTGAAGGAAATGGAGACACAAAAAACCCTTCAAAAAATTAATGAATTCAGGAGCTGGTTTTTTTGAAAAGATCAACAAAATTGATAGACCGCTAGCAGGACTAATAAAGAAGAAAAGAGAGAAGAATCAAATAGACACAATAAAAAATGATACAGGGATATCACCACCGATCCCACAGAAATACAATCTACCATCAGAGAATACCATAAACACCTCTATGCAAATAAACTAGAAAATCTAGAAGAAATGGATAAATTCCTCGACACATACACCCTCCCAAGACTAAACCAGGAAGAAGTTGAATCTCTGAATAAACCAATAACAGGCTCTGAAATTGAGGCAATAATTAATAGCTTACCAACCAAAAAGAGTCCAGGACCAGATGGATTCACAGCCGAATTCTACCAGAGGTACAAGGAGGAGCTGGTACCATTCCTTCTGAAACTATTCCAATCAACAGAAAAAGAGGGAATCCTCCCTAACTCATTTTATGAGGCCAGCATCATCCTGATACCAAAGCCTGGCAGAGACACAACAAAAAAGAGAATTTTAGACCAATATCCCTGATGAACATCGACGCAAAAATCCTCAATAAAATACTGGCAAACCGAATCCAGCAGCACATCAAAAAGCTTATCCACCATGATCAAGTGGGCTTCATCCCTGGGATGCAAGGCTGGTTCAACATACTCAAATCAATAAACATAATCCAGCATATAAGCAGAACCAACCACAAAAACCATGTCATTATCTCAATAGATGCAGAAAAGGCCTTTGACAAAATTCAACAACCCTTCATGCTAAAAACTCTCAATAAATTAGGTATTGATGGGACGTATCTCAAAATAATAAGAGCTATCTATAACAAACCCACAGCCAATATCAGACTGAATGGGCAAAAACGGGTAGCATTCCCTTGGAAAACTGGCACAAGACAGGGATGTCCTCTCTTACCACTGCTATTCAACATAGTGTTGGAAGTTCTGGCCAGGGCAATCAGGCAGGAGAAGGAAATAAAGGGTATTCAATTAGGAAAAGAGGATGTCAAATTGTCCCTATTTGCAGATGACATGATTGTGTATCTAGAAAACCCCATCGTCTCAGCCCAAAATCTCCTTAAGCTGATAGGCAACTTCAGCAGTCTGAGGATACAAAATCAATGTGCAAAAATCACAAGCATTCTTATACGCCAATAACAGACAAACAGAGAGCCAAATCATGAGTGAACTCCCATTCACAATTGCTTCAAAGAGAATAAAATACCTAGGAATCCAACTTACAAGGGATGTGAAGGATCTCTTCAAGGAGAACTACAAACCACTGCTCAATGAAATAAAAAAGGATACAAACAAGTGGAAGAACATTTCATGCTCATGGGTAGGAAGAACCAATATTGTGAAAATGGCCATACTGCCCAAGGTAATTTATAGATTCAATGCCATCCCCATCAAGCTACCAATGACTTTCTTCACAGAATTGGAAAAAAACTACTTTAAAGTTCATATGGAACCAAAAAAGACCCTGCATTGCCAAATCAATGCTTACACACTGTTAATGGACATGTAAATTAGTTCAGTCACTGTGGAAACAGTCTGGAGATTTCTCAAAGAACTTAAAACAAAATTACCATTTGACCCAAAAATCCCATTACTGGGTATATACCCAAAATAAAACAAATCATTCTACCAAAAGGACATGTGCGTTCATATGTTAATAGTGAAGGAGGTGAAATAATACCAAAATATTTCTTCTCCTCACTCAAAATTACAGAGTTAAAAGGGATTTCAAAGATCATTTTTAACTATCTCACCTTAAAAAATAAATAATTTCTAGGTTTGTTAAGAAGCAAAGTGATAGCTCCAAGATTATCCAGGAAGCATCATAATCAGTCTTTGATTTAACATTCTCTCCACATCCAAATTCAAAACTAAACGTCTCTCCTTTTTCTTTTCAAAAATCCCAATGTATATCTCTAATTATCTATTATCTTTTACTGAATTTATTTAATATCTGGTTCATTTACTTGATTAAAAACTCCTTGAAAAGAGAGATCCTTTTTACTCACATTTGCATTCATAGACACATACATCTCACTCTGTACATTTCAACTAATGTTTATTAAATAGACAAAATTATTAAATTCAAAAATAAGGGCTAGACATTGGTTTTATGACTATTATTCTTTTTACAATGTTATCCTGCCACTTCTATTCCTTTATTTTACCTACTAAAAATTAAATTATATAACCTACGTAGAAATTGTTTTTCTACTGAAATAGTTCTGTCTGCTCCAGGTTCCTCAAGATGCTGTAAGAAATGCTAAAATAATACATGTAAATTAAGAAAAACCTTTTGGCAAAGAATATATTGTTTTAAAATTCCAAGGTCAAGAGATTGATATGATATATCCAAAACAGGAAAATATAAAGACAATTATTTGTGGTTTCCTGGGGCTTGAAGGAGAGGAGCTGGGGAGTGACTACTAATGGGTATGTGGTTTATTTTTGGAATGATGAAAATGTTCCCAAATCAGATTATGATGATAGTCACACAACTCTTTATTCATTCTATAATCCACTGAATTGTACATTGTAAATAGGTGAACTTTATGGTATCTAAATTATATCTTAATAAAGCAGTTAAAAAATGCTCTCCCCAAATGGAAAAAGAAAATGGTCCATAATAAAATTGGTTGATGAGAAAGTTTAAATGATTTGAACTCCTGTGATTTAAAATTCTGGATATACTTACTACTCTTTGTATAAGAAAGTTACAATATTAAAAGGATAGATATATTAAGAGTAAAAAATAATCGCTTGGAGGATAATCAGCCATATCTGGGTTCCGATTAAAGCTCTACCACTTACCTGATGTGTAATCAAGTTACTTAACCACCTTGAACTACCGTTTCCTCGGAGGAAAATAATAGTACCTAATTCACAGAGTTGTCATAAATATTAAATAAGACCTATTATATTCAGTGCTTAAAACCTCTTGTTATTCTTTCTCCACTTACTTTTATTTTATGCTATATCCAACTCTAGATTTTGGGTCCTAAGTCTACCCACATAATCACTTATTTCTTCTTTTCTTCATATGGATAATTTGCACTTTACAAGTGCAGAATTTAATATCTCATCTCGCAAACAGTCTCACCTTTGTTCCTCTTTGTTTTATATGAGAAAGCTTCACGTGTCTACCTTCATCCTGCTAAACTCTATGTGGATTAGGAACATAAACTCTTAGGGCAAACTTATTGTATTTAAATTCCACTTCCAAAATTATTAACTATTTGAACTTTGGTAAGTGATTGGCCTCTCTTGCCTCAGTTTCTTCATCTGTAAAGCAAAGATAAAAATAACGTTGACCTTATAGGCTTTAATACTTACTGAGGTGTCTTAGTTCATTACGTGTTGCTATAACAGAAAACCTGAGGCTGAGTAATTTATTTTAGAAAAATAGGTTTATTTAGCTCACAATTCTTCAGGCTAGGAAGATCAAGGGATGGAAGATCTTCAGGCTAGGAAGATGCACTTGGCGTCTCATGAGGGCTTTTGTACTGCATTATAACATGCCAGAGAAAGTCAAAGGAGAAGCAGACACATGTACAGAGACAAAACATGAGGGGCATCCTGCTTTTATAAGAACCCACTGTTAAAAGAAAAACCTCAAACATATTGAATTTAACAGAGTTTCATTAAGCAAAGAACAATTTGTGAATGTGGAATTACCTCCTAACCAGAATAGCTTGAGGAAGATTCCAAGATGCTGTACGGTCGGATAGGATTTTTGGACAGAAAAAGGAAAGTGATGTACAGAAAATAGAAGTGAAATACAGAAACAGCTGGATTGGTTACAGCCTGGCCTTTGCCTTATTTGTACACAGTTTGAACAGTTGGCTGCCTGTGGCTAGCTGCAACTCAGTAATTCGTACAGTAGGAGATTATAGTCTATTTACACATCCAATTAGTTTACAGTTCACTAAATACTGAGAAATGTTTCAGGACAAGCTTAAAATATGTAAGGAGACAGCTTTAGGCTAAATTTTAACACCCACTCTCAAGAGAATATTTTCAGTCTCTTGAGAATGAGAACTTATTCTCTACCACAAACCATGCCACGTAATTTATGAGAGATTCGTCCTCATAATCCAAACACCTCCCTTTAGTCCCCACTTTCCAATACAACAAAACTGGGGATCAAATTTCAACATGAGTTTTGTTGGGGACAAGCAAACTATATCCAAGCCATAACATGAGGATAGTACCTGCTAAATAGAAAGTTCACAGTCAATATTGAATATCAAAAATGATTAATAAGTCTAATTATTCTCATAAAAATCTTCAAATTGTGGATCCATAAAGACTCTGGCGTTGCTTGTATTTTCCAATAAATACTCTTATTCACTCTCTTAAACAAACTATTTTATTCTACACTTTATCCCAACAGAACCCTAACCCTTTATAGGGACCCTATATAACTGTAACCCTTTTCCTTACTATGTTTATTTCTTTATCATGCCTTAGCCCAGCTGGACTTGCAAAAAATAATATATTCATAGTCTGTGTTCATTCAGCACCCAGTTATGAAGAATCAGAAGACTACCTGGGAGGTCAAAGATTTTTACTTGCTCTAGAGTAGCTCAAGAAGGCTACTTGGACACAAAGGTACAAAGTAGGCAAGGGAGATTCTCCAGAATACATCTAAGGTAAGTAATATAACCTCTAGAACATCTATGTATTCTTGATTTTTTAAAAAACTGTTTTCATTTTTGTGGGATCGTAGTAGGTGATATATTTATGGGGTACATGAGATATTAGTATTTTGATACAGGCATGTAATGTGAAATAATCACATCATTGAGAATGAGATATCCATCCACTCAAGCATTTATCCTTTGTGTTACAAGCAACCCAATTACATTATTTTCGTTATTTTATTTTATTCATGTATTTATGTATGTATTTATTTATTTATATTTATTTTTTGAGATGGAGTTTTGCTCTTGTCGACCAGGCTGCAGCACAATGGTGCAATCTCAGCTCACTGCAACCTCTGCCTCCTGGGTTCAAGCGATTCTCCTGCCTCAGCATACCGAGTAGCTGGGATTATAGGCATGCGCCACCACTCCTGACTAATTTTGTATTTTTAGTAGGGACGGGTTTTCTCCATGTTGGTCAGGCTGGTCTCAAACTCCCTACCTCAAGTGATCAGCCCTCCTCATCCTCCCAAAGTGCTGGGATTATAGGCTTGAGCCACTAAGCCCGGCCTATTTTAGTTATTTTAAAATGTACACATTATTATCAACTATCCTGTTGTGCTATCAAATAGTAGGTCTTATTCATTCTTTCTAACTATTAACATTCCCTATTAACACTCCCTACCTGCTTCCCAAACCCCCACTACCCTTTCCAGCCTCTGGTAACAATTTTTCTACTGCACATGTCCATGAGTTCAATTGTTTTGATTTTTAGATCCCACAGATAAGTGAAAACATGTGATGTTTGTTTTTCTTAGCCTGGCTTATTTCACTTAACATAATGACATCCAGTTCCATCCATATTGTTGCAAATGACAGAATCTCATTCTTTTTTTCATGGCCGAATAGTATGCCATTATGTATATTAGAACATTATCCATTCATCTGTTGATGGTCACTGAAATTGCTTCCTTATCTTAGCTATGTGAACAGTGCTGCAACAAACATGGGAATGCAGATATTTCTCTGATATACTGATTTCTTTTCTTTTGAGTATATACCCAGTAATGGGATTGCTGGATCATATGGTAGCTCTATTTTTTGCTTTTCTGAGGAACCTCCAAACTGTTTTCTGCAGCGGTTGTACTAATTTACATTCCCACCAACAGTGTGTGAGGGTTCTCTTTTCTCCACATTCACACCAGCATTTGTTATTGCTTGTCTTTGGATAAAAGACAGTTTAACTGGGGTAAGAGAATATCTCATTGTACTTTTATTTTTCATTTCTCTGATGATCAATGACGTTGAGCACTTTTGCCATTTGTATGTCTTCTTTTAAGAAATGTCTATTTAAATGTTTTGCCCAGCTTTTTATTGAACTATTAGATACTTTCCTACAGAGTTGTTTGAACTACTTATGTCTTCTGGTTATTAATCCCTTGTCAGGTGGATAGTTTGCAAATATCTTCTTCCATGCTGTGGGTTATCTCTTCATTTTGTTGATAGTTTTCTTTGCTGTGCAGAAGCTTTTTAAATTGATGTGATCCATTTTGTCTTTGGTTGCCACCTGTGGGGTATTGCTCAAGAAACTTTTGCCCAGACCAATGTCTTGAAGACGTTTCCCAAAGTTTTCTTGAAGTAATTTCATAGTTTATGTCTTAGATTTAAGTCTTTCATCCATTTTTATTTGATTTGTGTATGTGTCAAGAGATAGGGTCTATTTTCATTCTTCTGCATATGGATACCCAGTTTTCCCAGTACAATTTATTGAAGAGACTGTCTTTTCCTCGGTGTATGTTCTTGGCACCTTTGTGGAAATTGAGCTCACTGTAGGTATGTGGATTTTTTTCTGGGTTCTCTATTCTGTTCCATTAGTCTATGTGTCTGTTTTTATTTAAGCCAGTACCATACTGTTTGGGTTACTATAGCTCTGTATTATAATTTGAAGTCAGGTACTGTGATTCCTCGAGCTTTGTTCTTTTGCTCAGGATAGTGCGGGCTATTCTGGGCCTTTTGTGGTTCTGTATAAAATTTAGGATAGTTTTTCCTATTTATGCAAAGAATTCACTGGTATTTTGACAGGGATTGCATTGAATCTGTAGATAGCTTTGGAGAATAAAGGCATTTTAACAATATTGATTCTTCCAATCCATGAACATTGACTATTTTTCCATTTCTTGGTGTCCTTTTCAACTTCTTTCCTCAGTGTTTTATAATTTTCATTATCGAGATATTTCACCTGCTTGGTTAATTTTTAGGTATTTAGTTTTGTGTGTGGCTATTGTAAATGGAATTACTTTTTAAATTTCTTTTTCAGATTGTTCCCTGTTGACATTTAGAAATGCTACTGATTTTTTATGTTAATTTTGTATTCTCCAACATTTTTTTGCTTTTTAGTTTTAATTGTTGTGTGTGTGTGTGTGTGTGTGTGTGTGTGTAGTATTTAGTATTTTCCAAATGTAAAATCATATCATCTGCAAACAAGTATAATTTGACTTCTTCCTTTCCAATTCAGATATCCTTTATATCTTTCTCTTGTCTGATTGCTCTAACTAGGACTTCCATTTCTATGTTAAATAACAGCAGTGACAGTGGGCATCCTTGTTGTGTTCCAGATCTTAGAAAAAAGGCTTTCAGTTCTTTCTTGTTCAGTAGGATACCAGCTGTGAGTCTGTCATACTTGACTTTTATGTTGAGGTATATTCCTTCTACACTCAGTTTTTTGAGAGTTTTTATCATAAGGGAAGTTAAAAGTTATCAAATGCTATTTGGGCATCAATTAAAATGACTATGATATTTTTCCTCATTCTGTTGATATGATGGATCACATTGACTGATTTGCATGTGTTAAACCATCCTTGCATCACAGGGATAAATCCCACTTGGTCATGATGAATGATCTTTCTAATGTATTGTTGAACTTGGTTTTCTAGTATTTCATTGAGAATTTTTGCATGAATATTCATCAGAGATATTGGTCTGTAGTTTTTGTTTTGTTTTGTTTTGTTTTGTTTTGTTTTGTTTTGTTTGAGGTGTTTGTCTGGTTTTGGTATCAAGGTAATACTGGCCTCATAGAATGAGTTTGAAGGTGTTCCCTCCTCTTCTGTTTTCTGGAATAGTTTGAGTAAGAATGTTATTAGTTCTTCTTTAAATGTTTGATAGAATTCAGCAATGAAGCCATCAGGTCCCAGGCTTTTCTTTACTGGGAGGATTTTATTATGCCTTTGATCTTGTTATTTGTTATTGATCTGTTCAGGTTTTGGATTTCTTCATGGTTTAATCTTGGTAGATTGTATGTGTCTAAAAATTTATTCACTTCATCTAGCTTTCCCAATTTATTGGCATATAGCTGCTCATAGTAGCCGCTAATGAATTTAAATTTCTGCAGTATCAGTTGTAATGTCTACTTTTTCATTTCTGCTTTTATTTATTTGTATCTTCTCTCTTTTTCTCTTAGATACTCTGGCTACACGTTTATCAATTTTGTTTAGCCTTCCAAAAATAAATATTCTTGATTTTTTACATACTGTAAATAAGTATCTGTGTCATCTTTGCAGTTAACTTCCCATTAATAATTGAGAAACATTTAAAAATCTCTTTCTCTGCAAAAATAGAATATTTTAAGATTTTTATAAAGTAATATAGAAAGTTCTGTGCTGCACTCAAATCAAGACAATATTTTGTTTAAGTATTATGGTAATGATAGCTGTTCAGAGAAACTCAATGGCTAATTTTTTTGTTACTGGCAGTCATAGTAGTGCCCTGGGCAAAGTTATGAAAGGCTCATTAACATTATTAGCCATAATAAACCAGCGTTTTTATTATATTAAGTCAATTTTTTTTCACAGCATGTAAAATATTTTGAAACAGAATTGGCATATTATGTACTTTCTTTAATATCCATGGGTTTATATATATTAATAGATTAAGCAGCAAATGAGTGTTCGCCTTTGGATAGTTTGAACATTGCATTAAGCTCCTTATAAGTTTCTCATTTTCTTTCTTTAGCCTTACTTGTTCCTGACTTTTAGTAGCCCGATATGCATCACGTCATTTTTTCATTAGTGCTGCTACCATGAGCATTTATGATAATTCAGTGTATGTGCCATAGTTATTACTGTAAGCCTCTGAACTGAGAATTAAACCTCATAAAGTCAGTTAACTGTGTAGAATATTTCAGTCTATCACTGTCAATTATTCTTAAAGACTATAGCCTCCCACCCAGTGCACTGAGTAACTCAAGAAATAGGAAGATATTTTCATTTATATAATAAGGTTGACATGTGCCTTTACAATCCTCTTGAGCATGTCAATAAAAACATACCATACTTTCTATAGGCAATTGTTACCATGCCCTCTAATTGTTGATATCTGATAAAATCTTCTATCATATATTTGATACACTTATGCACAACATAATGATATACAATAATATGCCAATATTTTGTTTAAGTATTATAGTAATGATAGCTGATATATGATAGTGGCCCCATCAGATTATAATACCATTTTTTATCATACTTTTTCTATGTTTAGATATATTTAGATATAGAAATGCTTGCCATTGTGTTACAGTTGCCTACAGGATTCAATACAGTAACATTGTATACAGGTTTGTAGTGTAAGAGCAATAGACTATAACATGTAGCCTAGGTGTGTGGTAGGCTGTACCATCAAGATTTACGTAAGTACACTCTATGATGTTCACACAATGAAAAAAAAATTTTCCAATGATGCATTTTTCAGAACGTATTCCTGTCATTAATCAACACATAACTGTATTCAAATATATGATCAATAGCTATAAACCACGGATTCATATAGACCATTTGATAGTTATAAAGCTTGAAGATACCAGATAATACTTCATTTTGTAAAATTCAGGAAAAATAAAAAGATTTGGCACATGACAGATACATATCTGTGGATGTAGGTTTTTTTTTGCTGTAGTTTTCATTTCTTCAATGTGTGTTATGTGAAATTTACAGGTTTATACAAATGTAATAAATATTTAGCTTTTTTTGTTCTTGAAATGTGTTAATATCATTTACATTTAAGCTATTTACTATCTATGTTTTAAAGATTTACCTATATATTATTTGCACATATTTCCATTCAAAAAGAAAAAACATATCATCAAAGAGACAAATAAATGAAATTTATGCTCCTAACTATCATTAAAAAAAAACATGTTAGGCAGTAAGAAATGACTGAGGATTTTTTATATACTCCAAGGGTGATTTGTTTCTATTGGTGGAGGTAATTATATTGCATTGTAACTTCAACATGCATTCTACATTAACTTTTGTAAATAGCAACAGCAAACAGTTGTTTCTAAACTCATCTTCAAAAAAAAGGTTCAGTATTGGCAGAAAAGTATAGAACATACTATTTTAGATAAAAATATTAAGAGAATTCTGAGAGTGAAGTAGACTTAAAGTTGAAGACAAAAAGAAAATGCTTGTATGTATTAAAATAAACGAAATGACATATTGTGGCCAATACTATGCCCCACAGGTTTTATGGATGTTAAATAATTTAATATATATAAAGACATACTAGTATCATTATTTCAGAAGTGAGCAATCTCAGACTCTGAGACTGCAAGTAACTTGCCCATGATTATGTTGCTAGTAAATGATATAAAGATGCTCAAATGCAGATAGATTTGTTCTTGATACTTGCTCTTATCCACAACAATATACTGCCTCCCAGAAGGAGGAATACATTCATTTGTAAAAGAAAGTGAAGCAACTGAAGGAACAAATCGTGTTTGCAAAGTGTACTACCTCTAGTTATAATGACCAACATATGAGCTTGCTTCCTAAGGCCAACCGACCTAAAGTAACAACTAATTAACAGGAACTGGTTTCCACTCTGGGAGTCAATTATGTGAAAAGTTGCATTTAAAAAAATAATAATTAATGTAATTTTATTTAACTCTTTTTGAAAAATACTTCTTTATTTTCCAAAGTATACTTTAAATTTTTATTCAAATTCATGTAAAGCACTGACAAAGTGGTCAAAAACATTCCATGAATAAATTTAGGGGAATTACTTTATTAAAAAAACCTCAAAGACACTTTCTGTGTGTGTGTGTGGATATACTAGGTGAAGTGTTTATCCTTTGGGACACTGAACAAACCTCAACTTTTTAATACATGTTTTTCTGACCCTCTTAGAAAGTATTTGTCAATCTTTCCTTTTTTCTGAACCAATTTTCTCATACCTTCCATGGCAATTCACACATTGCAATGAAATTATATTTTCATGCTTACTTCATGGTAAGTAAACTGCATCGAACACAGGTAGAATTGGGTGTTTATTCCATCTCTGTAGTCCCACCACTAAATAAGAGGCTGAATACATGTGTAATAGTGTAATAAAAAGCACATGTGCTTAATTATATTTTAAAGTAGAGGTGGAAAATACTTTTTGAATTCAGAGTAAGATTTCAAATGTGATGTTTGAATCTGAACAAAATATTAGGTTTTTAAAAATATGGCCGGGCACGGTGGCTCATGCCTGTAATCCCAGCACTTTGGCAGACCAAGGCGGGCGGATCACGAGGTCAGGAGATCGAGGCCATCCTGGCTAACACGGTGAAACTCTGTCTCTACTAAAAACACAAAAAATTAGCCAGGCATGGTGGCGGGCGCCTGTAGTCCCAGCCACGTGGGAGGCTGAGGCAGGAGAAAGGTGTGAACCCGGGAGGCGGAGCTTGCAGTGAGCCAAGATCGCGCCACTGCACTCCAGCTTGGGCAACAGAGTGAGACTCCGTCTCAAAAAACAAAACAAAACAAAACAGAACATACAAACAAATATATATATGGACTACAAGAACATTGAGTCACTTTCAAATGGATTTTCATAAGAGCATTAGCAAAAATGCCAGTTTTATGAAAGTTCAGACACTGTAACACATGGCCAAGGTATTACCAAGCTAAATATATGATTATTTTCTTCCCCTCCCCTATCAGAATGAATACATACACAGGAAGAGTGTCTAGGAAATCTCCACATACCCCATTCCCAAACATACACAAAAATTAGCTAGGTTTCGGTAAAAACAAAATGTCATAAGGGGGAGCATTTAGGTGTGGTTGCCTTTTTAAAGTTCTGAATATAATAATACAAAATCTGTTTAAATATTTGAAATGTTTTAAGAACATACTGACAGCCTGCTAGTTTCATTATTGAATGTTTCTTCCAGACAAATCTTCAGTTTCCCAAAGGAGTTGTGTGCACAATTGCTTTTGCTATTATTAATTTATGGTAACTTGTTCACTTGTTCTCAAGTAGTTCTGCTTGTAGCTACATTTTATGATGTGCCACTAAACTGCAATAGTCTCTGAGTGCATTTCTTAAGCAAAATATAAGGTAATTACAATGGCAGCTTGACAATGAAAGAGGAAAACATTCTACTCTATACATGACTACTTTATCTTCATGTTTTTAATAGTCTATGGAACAAATTAATTGTTAACAACAAAGTTCCTAACCTATAGTCAGAATAAATTCCACCTATATTGTTCATAAACATCTCAGCAACTATCAAAGTGTTTACTTCCATAAGGTAGGAAATGATAAATTATGTAAAATGATTGTTTGGAAATAAAACCAGTAACTAGACATTCTTTTAGAATGTCTCCTCAAAGCAAATTCTACTTTTAGGTGTTTTTTTATCCTACCTGTCTCCTTCTCATGAAAATCTCATATTCAATTTCACAGCACCACTGTTTCAATAGAGATTACTATCCCCTTTAAGAAGAAGATTATTGGCCAAGCCCAAAACTAATAATAATTTGATTACTGGAAATTATTTATTTCAGATGGGACAGTTTATTGATCAGTATTTAGGTTTAAGTAAACAAAAGACTTTAATTTTGTCTAAAAATTAATTTATTAAAATGGAAATAGTGGCCAGATACCAACTCTTGACAGCTTTGCCAGATTAGATGACTTCTATCTGGTGACAAGGGATTAAGATTCCCAAGAAAGAATTAAAAATATTCAATATTGCTTATTTTACAGTAACATTTTTAATATTTTACATTTATGAGGCTTCTTTTGGTACTAATAGTACAAAGAATTAATGTACTAAAAACATAATTTCACAATAGCTAATGAAACTCATAGGACGGTCTTGTGAATACATATTGGAATAGCTTTAAAAACTGTCATCATATGGTTTTAACATGAAGTATTCAATAAGGGTGCAAAGTGAGACATAGTTCAAATTTTACAGACTTACGTTTCCTTTCTCAGCCTCTGAACTAGTGTCTAAAATTATTCATCAGCATAACTACTCTAGAATACATTTTGGTTTCTTAAATATGACCTTTTATGATGGAATGAGTTTAGTTCTACTAAAAAATGAATTAATGTAAAATGGAATATGTGTATATTCTTTAATACACATAAAGAGCAAAAAAAAAATTATTGCTTAAGAAGACCTTTAAAGGGAGCAGAAGAAGGGAAGTGAAAACGAAGTGAATAAAAAATAAATTTCTTCAGATCTAAGATTTATAAGGTCATCCTTTTCCCAAAATGTACCAATTTATGTTTTCAAAAAGATATCATTATTCTAATATTCAGTAACTTTGCAATGAATGTTGACTCTATCATAAACACTATTACATATACTTGCTATTTCATAAGTACTTCATCTCAGAAGCCTGCTGTGCTTTTCTGGTCTTCTAATTAATCAGCTTTTCCCACCTTGTGATTGTCTAATTTTCACTTAATTGCTTTACAGTAATAAAGTTTATCTTGCATTCTTCTCCCATCAGGGTGAGACTTTTTAAAATGCAACAAATCTTCAACCTGTAGAGCTGAAGATGAGACATTATATTAGGATGGTTTCTCTTCCTCTGAGATTTAGAAAATTACATTTTCAACTGAAGGTTGAAAAGATTATTATAAGCCACCTATAGCCAGTTGTTCATCACTTATTGAATGTCATGAATAAACAATTTTTGGAAAATAACATTTTTCAAGGAAAAGAAGGCAATATGAAACAATATTATACCAAATCTATTTCCTTTTTATTGACTTTTGATATGAGATCTCTTTCATACTCACAGTTTCACGAACTTATTTTCTAAAACTTATTTTGCTACTTCTACAACTCATTGGCAAGTGCTCAAACATTAATTTGAGCTACTGATTAAATAATACAATAACTAAAGAAATCTCATGTTTATTTTTATTATGCTCATCCTTTTCTTTAATAAGAATCTATACATTAACTGCACATTTACAGTCATGACAAAACTTCTTTTATGTTTGATACCATATACACTACTGTAATAATTTGCATATTAAGCATAAAGCTGTAGCAATCATGTAAATTAATATATACCTTTTAATATAGTCACCATTTAGACTCGGAACAATTATTTAGACCTCATTTTTATATCCTGGTTTTACTGTATCTAAAAACAATAAAGCAGTGGAGCCTTACAGATAAAGCCTCTGCATATAAAAGCTTTGTTCTTAAAGGACCTAGCTCAATTCTGCTATCAGAATGAAGAAAGTCGGTAAGACTACTCCCTTCACCAAACTTTTCAATAACATTAATGTCTATAACAGAAACCACTAATCCTTTTTCTTACAGGTCACTCAAGAATATTACAAATTTTCAGTCTGTGATCTTTGCGAATTTAATGTTAGTTTATCTGGTTTGAAAAGCCAATATGAAGATGGATCAATAATCACTCAGCTATGTAACTGTTATTTGCCTCTCAACATTTGAGGTAAAATATAAAAACAGAACTGCTCTATTCTGAGCTTCCAAATTTGTAAATTCTCTATTGTATACACCTAGATGAAATTTGAAGAAAATTTGTTTCTTTTACCTTCAAATATGATTCATTAATTCCAGTAAGTGCTTAATGCCTTTAAACAATACTTAGCACAGCTGCCTGTGGAACTCAGTATTTAGTTTTTGTTAATGGGGTAATCAGTTGTGACAGACCAATGATATCACAAGATGGGTACACTTTTGATTTTATGTGATCAATATTGCCATTGAGGTTTAAGAGGTTCTTTTGTTTAAAAAATGACAACATAAAATTACTTACTGCCTTTTAAATAGTTAGAAACTTAATTATAATCACTAGCTGTATGATTTTAACATAAAATGACAAAATGTTTTAGGTTTGATTTGTAAAATCTGTACTTCTAATATAACCTCTATTATTCCTGAACACTGTTGTTACTGGAGCTTCATGTGGCTAGAAAACTGCCAACAAGAGTGTCTCTAATGAGTACTACAATTGCAAAACGCCATAAGCATCCCAGTCTTAGTTTCATAAAAGAGATGATGAGTTATCTCATGAATACCGTTATGCCATAAAAAACAAGGAAACTTTGCTGTCATGGTGTTTTCTTGATACTAAAACTCAGTGTAGTGAATTAGATGACTACATGAGCAACATTTGGCACTTTTTTATCCATTCATCTGTTGATGAACACTTAGGTTGCTTCCAAATCTTAGCTACTGTTAACAGTGTTGCAACAAACATGGGAATGCAGATATCACTTTGATATACTGAATTCCTTTCTTTGGTGTATATACTCAGCAGTGGGATTGCTGAATCAGAGTAGTTCAATTTTTAGGTTATTCAGAAACTTCCAAACTGTTCTCTAGAGTGGTTTTACTAATTCCTATTCCCATCTATGGTGTATAAGGGTTCCTTTTTCTCCACATCCTTGCCAGTATTTGTTATTGCCTGTCTTTTGGATATACGCCATTTTAACGGAGCGAGATGATATCTCTCTCATTGTAGTTGTGATTTGCGTTTCTGTGATGATCAATGATGTTTAGCACCTTTTCATATGCTTGTTTGCAATTTGTATGTCTTCTTTTGAGAAATGTCTATTCAAATATTTTGTACACTTTTTTGATCAGATTATATTTTTTTCCCTCTACAGTTGTTTGAGCTACTTATATATTCTGGTTATTAATCTCTTCTCAGATGGGTAGTTTGCAAATGTTTTCTCCCATTCTGTGGGTTGCCTGTTCACTTTCTTGATTGTATATTTTGCTGCGAAGAAGCTGTTTAACTTAATGTAATCCCATTTGTTCATTTTTGCGTTGGTTGCCTGTGCTTGTGGGGTACTGCTCAGGAAATTTTTGCCCAGACCAATGTCCTGAAGAGTTTCCCCAATGTTTCCTTGCAGTAGTTTCATGGTTTGAGGTTTTAGATTTAAACCTTTAATTCATTTTGATTTGATTTCTATATATGGGGAGAGAGAGGGGTTGTGAACCCCAAATAAATGAGACTGGTCTCAGTCCATTTAGGAAGTTTATTTTGCCAAAGTTAAGGATGCACACCCATTACACAGCCTCAGGAGGTCCTGACCACGTGTGCCCAAGGTGGTCCGAGCACAGCTTGGTTTTATACATTTCAGGGAGACATGAGACATTAATCAATATATGTAAGATGAAACATTCGTTTGGTGCAGAAAGGCAGGACGACTCAAAGCAAAGGCATTACTACTTGAAGTTGAGAGGGGGCTTTCAGGTCATAGGTAGATAAGAGACAAATGGTTACATTATTTTGAGTTTCTGATTAAGCTTTCCAAAGAAGGCAATCAGATATGCATTTGTCTCAGTGAGCAGAGGGATGACTTTGAATAGAATGGAAGGCAGGTTTACCCTAAGCATTTCCCAGCTTGACTTTTTTCCTTTAGCTTAGTGATTTGGGGGTCCAAAGATTTATTTTCCTTTCACAGGGTCTAGTTTCATTCTTTTCATATGGATATCAAGTTTCCCCAGCATCATTTGTTGAAGAGACAATTTTTTCCCCAGTGTATGTTCTTGGCATCTTTGTCAAAAATCAATTCATTGTAGCTGTGCGAATTTGCTTCTGAATTCTCTATTCTGTTCCATTGATCTATGTGTCTGCTTTTTTGCCAGCATGCTGTTTTGGTTACCATGGCTCTGTAGTAAAATTTGAAGTCAGACAATGTGAGTTGTCCAGTTTTGTTCCTTTTGCTCAGGATAGCATATACTATTCTGGGTCTTTGGTGGTTCCATATACATTTCACGGTTTTTTTTTTTCTATTTCTGCAAAGAATGTCATTGGTATTTTGACAGGGATTTCATTTAATCTGTAGATTGCTTTGGGAAATAAGGACATTTTAACAATATTGATTCTTCCAACCCATGAACATAAAATATTTTTTCATTTTTTGGTGTCCTCTTCAATTTCTTTCATCAATGTTTTATAATTTTCATTATAGAGATCTTTCACTTGTTTGGGTAAGTTAATTTCTAAGTATTTTATTGTATGCGTGGCTACTGTAAATTGGATAACTTTTAAATTCCCTTTCACATGTTCACTGTTGGCATATAGAAATGCTACTGATTTTTGTGTGTTGATTTTGTGTTCTGCAACATTACTGATTTTTAAAATCAGCTCTAATAATTTTTGTGGAGTCTTTAGGTTTTTCTAAATATAAGATCATATAATCAGCAAGCAAGGATAACTTGACTTCTTCCTTTTCAATTTGGATGTCCTTTATGTCTTTCTCTTGTCTGATTCTTCTAGCTAGGCTTTCTGGTACTATGTTGAATAATGGTAGTGACAGTGCACATCCTTGTGCTGCTTCAGATCTTAGAGAAAAGGCTTTCCATTTTTTTTTTTCCTATTCAGTATGATACTAGCTGTGGGTCTGTCATACATGGCTTTCATTATGTTGAAGTATGTTCCTTCTACACCCAGTTTTTTTTAAGGATTTTATCATGAATGAATATTAAACATTAGCTAATGCTTTTTCACCATCAATTAAGATACTCATGTGGTTTTGTTTTCAGTTCTGTTCATGTGATGTATCACATTGATTGATTTGCATATGTTGAACCATCCTTGCATCCAAGGGATAAATCCCACTTGGTCATGTTGAATGATCTTTCTAATGTATTATTGAATTTAGTTTGATAGGATTTCGTTGAGGATTTTTGTATAAGTATTTATCAGAGATATTGGCCTATAGGATATTGGTCTATAGTATTTTTTTTAATGTGTCTTTGTCATGTTTTTGTTTCTGGGTAATACTGGACTCTTGAAATGAATTTGGAAGAATTCATTTCTTCTCTGTTTCTCAGAATAGTTTTAATAGGAGAATAGGATTTACATTACTTCTTTAAATGTTTGGTAGAATTCAGCAGTAAAGCCATCAGTGTGCAGGACTTCTTTTTTTTTCTGGAAGAGTCTTTATTATGGCTTCAATCTCATTACTTGTTATTGGTCTGTTCATGTTTTAGAGTTCTTTCTGGTTCAGTCTTGGCAGGTTGAACCAGAATCTGTCCATTTCTTCTGGATTTTTAAAATTTATTGGCATATAGGTACTCATAGTTGTCACTAATAATCCTTTGAATTTCTGCAATGTCAGGTGTAATGCCTCCTTTTTCATTTCTGATTTTATTTATTGTAGCTTCTCTCTTTTTCTTATTTAGTCTGGATAAAGTTTTGTCAATTTTGTTTAAATTTTCAAAGAAACAACTTTTTGTTTCATTAATTTCTATATTTATTTCAATTTTATTTATTTCTGTTCTAATCTTTGTTATTTCTTTTCTTCTACTAATTTTGGATTTGATTCACTCTTGCTTTTCTAGATTGATAATATGCATTATTAGATTGTTTATTTGAAGTTTTTTCTCTTTTTTTGACGTAGGCACTTACACCCCTTAATTTTCCTCTCAGCACTGCTTTTGCTGTATCTGATAGGTTTTGGTATGTTGTATTTTCATTATCAGTTGTTTCAAGAAAAACTTCAATTTCTTTCTTAATTTCTTTATTGACTCACTGGTCATTCGGTAGCATATTTTTAAATTTCCATGTAATTTCCATGTATAGTTTCCAAAATTTTTCTTGTTATTAATTTCTAGTTTTATTCTATTGTGGTCAGAGAAGATGCTTTATATTATTTCTTTTTTTAATGTTTCAGGAATTCTTTTGTGACCTAACATATTGTCTATTCTTGAGAATTATCCATGTGCTGAGAAAAAGAATATGTATTTTGCAGCTCTTCAATGAAATGTTCTGTAAATATCTATTAAATCCATTTAGTTCATAGCGCGGATTAAGTCTGATGGGTTTTTTTGTTGATTTTCTGTCTGGAAGAGCTGTCCAATGCTGGAAGTGAACAATAAGTAATAATGAGGTGTTGAAGTCTCCAGCTATAATTGTATAAGGGCCTATCTCTCTCTTTAGCTCTAAAAATATTCGCTTTATACATCTGTGTGCTCCAGTGTTGGGTGCATATATATTTCAAATTATTATATCCTCTTGCTGAATGGACCTCTTTGTCATTATATAATGACCTTCCTTTTCTCTTCTTATAGTTTTCATCTTGAAATCTATGTTGTCTGATATACATATTGTGACTCCTGCCCTTTTTTGATTTCCATTGGCATGGAATATTTTTTCTTTTCCTTTATTTTTAGTCTATGTGTGTCTTTATGGTTGAAGTGTGTTTCTCATAGGCAACAGATCAGTTGGCCTTGTTTTTTCATGCATTCAGGCAGAGTTCAGTGCATTTACATTTAATGTTATTATTGATAAGTAAGAGCTTACTCCTGACATTTTTTAATTTTTATTTTTTCTGGTGGTTTTGTGATCTTCTCTTTCTTCTTTCTTTCCTCCCTGTCTTCCACTAGTGAGGATCATTTTCTCTGATGATATGATTTACTTACTTGCTTTTTAACTTTTGTGTGCCTATTTTATATTTTTAGGTTGAGGTTACCATGAGGCTTTCAAATACTGTATTATAACCCATTATTTTATCCTGATAAAAGCTCAACACTATTCACATAAAGAAACAAACAAAAAATTAAAAAAGAAAACTAATAAAATCTCACCTTAACTTTATCTTCCTGCTTTTTAACTTTTTGTTCTTTCTATTTGTATATTATTTTTCTGCCTATGTCTTGAAAAGTTGTTGGAGCTATTATTTTTGATTGGTTCATTATTTAGTATTTCTAGTTAGGATTAGAGCAGTTTACTCAACCAAAGTTACGGTGTTATAATATTCTGTTTTTCTGTGTACATACTATTACCAGTAAGTTTTGTACCTTTAATTGATTACTTATTGTTCATTAATGTCCTATTCTTTCTAATTGAAGTATTCCCTTTAGCATTGCTTTTAGGACAGGTCTGGTATTGATGAATTTCCTCAGCTTTCATTTGTCTAAGAAAACCTTTATTTCTTCTTCATGTTGGAAGGGTAGTTTTGCTGGGTATACTATTCTAGAATTAAAGATTTTTTGTTTGTTTGTTTGTTTTTGTTTGTTTTTCTTCAGTACTTTAAATATGTCATGCCATTCTCTCCTGGCCCATAAGGTTTCCACTAAAAAGTCTGCTTCCAGACATATTGGAGCTCCACCACCACCCCTGGCCATAAGGAATACTGCAAGACTACCACAGATGTTTAGTTAAGGCCCAGGGTCACTTTAGTCAGCTTGTGGTGAATGCTCCGTGGCCTGGGACTCACCCTTTAATGCAGTGGTTTCCCTTCTGTCCCAGGGCTGGTCCTGAAATGCCATCCAAGAGTCAAGTCCTGGAATCAGGGACTCCAAGAGCCCACTTGGTGTTCTACCTACCTGTTGTGTTGTTGGTACCTAGGATATAAGACAAAGTCCCCTTTACTTTTCTCTCAGTTTTTCTCAAGCAGAAAGAGTTTTGCCCCCTAACCACCTCAGCTAATAATGTGCTAAGTTTCTCCTGGGAGCCAGCACATCTCAGAGACTCACCAAGGCCCTCACTATAGTACCAGGTATTGCTGTTGGTTATTCAGGGCCCAAGGCTCTTCACTTAGGAGGCAATGAATGCTGACAGGACTGGGTTCTTTTCTTCAAAGCAACCGGTTCCCTTCTGGCCCAAGGCGTGTATAAATATGTCACCTAGGAGCTAGGGCCTGGGATAGGGGAACTCATGACTCAGGTTGGTACCCTATCCTACTGTGTTTGGGCTGCTATCCAAGATGCGAGACAAAGTCTCCCCACTCTTCCCTCTCCTCTCCTCAAAAGAAAGGAAGGTGTCTCTTTTGGAGCCATGATCTGTGCACCTTGGAGTTAGGTGATAGGAGCACTCCTTTTGCTTCCCTAGCTGGTGTCTCAGTATGTTGTGTGCCTCTGCAGTCTACTGTCTCTGTGGCCACTTCAGTCTTAGGACTCACCTGAGATTTGAAGTCTTTGTGGCCTAGACTGCCTTTCAAGTTTACTTAGAGACTGAGAGCACTTTGCCCTTCATGGTGAGGTTTGCAGACACTCAAGTTCAGATCACTGAGGTTGGTGATTCCCATCTGGCTAGGGCTGGTTTAAATGCTCCCTGTGTGGGTGGTAATCAGCTAAGTTTGGTCTGATTTTCCTTTCTGTTCTAACAGAACAATACTGTGTTCAATGCCTCACAATTGCTGTGTTCTTCTTCCCCCAGCACCCAGAGAAGCTCTCTGCACCATGCCCCCAAGCCTGGGGTGGGGGAGGGGTGGCACCAGCGATTCTGGACGTTTTTTTCTATCACTTCAGTGCCTCTTCCAGCAATATGAATTTAATACCAGATACCTAATTTTTGGTTCTTATATAGATTTTTCTTTTGTTAACTTGGTGTCTTTGCTGGGGCAATGATTAGTGGAGCTTTCTATTCTGCCATCTTGCTTTGCCTCTCTCTTTTTTTTTTTCTTTTAGAAACAGGTAAATACAACTGTTTAAGCATTATCATTAATATATAATGTTAAATTTTAAAATATATTATTTTTGTTCTACTACTTTGCTGGGGCAATGGAGCCAATGGAGAGAAAGATAACAAAATTTGTTTCTTAAAAACATATAAAAAGCCATTTCTCCCAATGTGAGAGATACTAATACGTACTCACCAAACCCATTACTTTCTCCTAATCACACAGTTCTACTACATTTTTCAGGCTTCCTTGCTTAAGTGAGATTTTGTGTCTGATTTCTGAACAATAGAATTTAGGAGGAAGTGTTGGGCAATACTTCCAAGGTTATCCCATAAAAAAATTCCTACTGGGATTTCCCATGCTGCTGTCAGCAATGACTTCAGTAGTTATATGTTGAATATAGAGGAGCCACAAAATGAAAGGAGCCTGGATTACTGAATCACCACTTGGATGAGAGCTCCCAGCTAATTGGTAACCTATGTTTTTCACTTTATATAAATGTTAAACCACTCATATTTGAGGATTTATTTGTTACAATAGCTACTATAACTTTATTTAACAGAAATTCGTTCTTTGAAACAAAAAATACCTGCCATAGCAGAAACCTAAAATACATGTATAAGTTTAATGGTCATGCAGTGAGCAGAAAGGTAACTGACTTGGAGGCTGAAAATATGAAGGCCCATTATAGGCAGTGGCAAAACATTTATTAACACTCTTGCCTGCTATAAATTGGAAGGAAAACCATATGCCCACTGAATATGCAGCTCCAAAGAGTCAGAGTCAGGGTAATAGTATATCCTGTTCTGATGTTCTGCATTGAGAAAGTATTCAAAGAGATTAATTAGAAAAAAATTTGGCTAGTTTGCAAGCAAAAATGAACCTGTCTACTTCTAGATCTGCATAAAGCAAAATTCTGGAAGTTCTTTCTATGCCATGAAAGATATATTAGAAAGACTTTGGCCTCTCCATCAATCTACAAAAGTCAGAAGAAAATTGTTCTCAGAGTCTAATTTGATTAATAAAAATAAATAATTATAATTAACAATGATGTATTGTGACCAGTAGTGGATTCCAACTGAAGACTTAATCTCTAAATTTAAGAAAGTTAAAATCCATTTGAGTAGGGAAAAAAAAATAATAAAAGCACAATTTAAAAGTAACTACAAACAAGTTAGTTCGATCTAGATAATTATATATTACAGTGCAAGTGGGTCCTCTAAGTGATGGTTAGGGATGAGCAAATTAATAAATTATGTGGTTTTTAGGGTAGTAAGAAACAAAAAGCAATAAATCAATAATTACAGGATTAATGTAAGTTGTATAATACACACTGAGAGATTCAGGGAAAGGGCATGTAAAACAAGAGATAAATTTATCCCAGAAGTGGGTTTTAGTCCAAGTGTTTAAGAAGATGTGAGTAGAGTGGCCAAACGGGCTGACTAGAAGCAGCTAAACGGCATGGCTCTCACGGAAAGGAATGGAAGGGGTGAGTAAATACAACACCTTCAACTGAAACATTCAGGTACTTACATTGGGTCTAATCTTGGAAACAACGTGACCCACGGAGACAGAGAAAAGCAAGGCAGGACACCGGCTCATGCAGGAGCAACACAGAGCCAAGGGAAGCTCCACTGCACAGAGAAGCAGTGAGTGAATGTGCCACTCCGGGAACCCATGCTGCTCCCACAGATTTTTGAAACCCTCAGGTCAGGAGGATCCCTCATGAACCTGCTCCACTAAGGGCCTTCAGTCTGACGCATAAACATGTGTCAGGAGCTATGTGGAGTCTCAGCAGAGCAACCACTCAGGCATACGCAGAGACCCAGGAGCTTTAGATACTCCAGCTTTTCGGGCAAACCAGCAAAAGTAGCTTCAACTCCAGAAAAGTGGGTGGTTAGACTCCTGTACCTACCACTAGGAAAGATGTTGAATCCAGAAGGCAGAGCAATAATGGCCTACAGGCCCCGCTTCCACAGCTCCTCACAGGATAAGACCCACTGGCTTGGAATTCCAGCCAGCAACAAGTAGCAGCATTGCGCCTCCCTGGGTTTGAGCTCCCAGAGAGAGGGGTGGGCTGTAACTTTTGCTGTTTTGGTAACTAGCTGTTCCAGCCTTTGGGCTTTGGAAAGCCCAAGCTGACCAGGGATGGAAGCAGTACCCCAGCACAGCACAGCTTCCCTACAAAAACATGTCCAGACTGCTTTTTGAGTGGGTCCCCAATCCCATTCCTCATCACTGGGTAAAGTATCCCAATCAGGGTCTCTGGCTACTCCTACTGGTGTTCTCCAGCTGATAGAGGTTTCAGGTCTCCCTGGAATGGAGCTCCCAGGGAAAGGGGTGGGCCGCCATCTTTGCTATTTGGGCTAGTTATTCCAGCCCTCAGGTTTCAGAGTATCCAAGGTGACCAGAGACTGAAATGGACATCCAGCACAGCACAGCTGCTCTACAAAAACGTGGCCAGACTACTTTTATATGTGGGTCCTCAATCCCATTTCTCCTGACTGGGTGAGACCTTCCAATTTTGGTCTTCAGCCACCTCTTACAGGTGCATGTGGGTGAGCAACAGGCCTGTACCTCCCTGGGACAGAGGTCCTAGAGGGAGGAGCAGACTGCCATCTTTGTTGTTTTGCAAGCCTTCACTGTGATACCTCCAGGTACTGGAAAATCTGAGGCGACTAAGCACTGGAGCAGACCCCCAGCATTCTGCAACAGCCCTACAGAAAATTGGCCAGACTGTTACATGGGTACTTGTTCCCATATCTTCTCACCAGTCAGGTCCTCTAGCCACCCCTTACCAGAGCTATTCAGCCAGTATCAACTCAGCAACTCCCTGGACAGAGCCTCCAGGGGCAACTGAAAGCCTCTTTGCCACTGCATCTAACACGAAGCCATCCTTGCTACCCTCTCACTAACAAAGGAGCAAGCACCCTTTGTGCCTCATTCACACTTCCAATAAGCTGCAGTCAACCCAAGGAAAGGAGGCCACTACATCTCCCATGGGTCCCCCACACATCTCATTGCTTACTGCCACACAGGGAACCCCTGGTTTAGGCCCACAGCACAGACCCTCCATTCTGGGCTGATTGCACTGAGCAATTACTGAACAACATCTCTCTGGGGTGGGGCCCCCAGGAGATAAGTAAAGTGGTGGAGCAGCAAGCCAGATGATATGGAGCCCAGAGGGTTTTGTGCAGGTGTGTCTGTAGCCAACCCTCTAGACTTAACTTGCTCCCATAAGAGACTTTATGCCTAGGGGAATTATCAGACCTGATTTCTGCAGGGTGGTCTTGCACATCAGATAGGGCTAGTCCAACCTGAACACTCCTTGGTCTGCTGGCCTCTTCTGGGACACCAGCCTAGCCATACCTGCTTACAGGGCAGTCTCACATGCCCCGGGGGCCCACACCATAGCTTTTCAGACAGTGGACAGTATGTGATCAATGGAGGGCTCCAGCAAGGCAGCCCTTATGTCCACGCACCAGCTGGCACATTCCCTCCCCATACTGCAGCTTCCTCTGAGCCCACGGAAACTCCCCATATTACTTTGCTGATGCATGTCTGCACAGGCATGTTTTGCTTTACTTGCCCTGCAACCACACGGGAGTACAGTGTGTCCTCTGACCCCTGCTCACCGCCATTGCAGACAGAGCTTTGACAGGCATAGAACCAGCAAGCTCCACCATGCCAGCACCCTGCTTTTGCACTAATGCTGCATGGAGAACAAGAGATCCTTCTGCATCCTAAGCAATCACTCCTGCTTGCAGGACACAGAGAAGGCACCCAGATCTGCACTGGCCAGCACCCCACCCCAAACCAACACCACCACCACCTTCAGTTCAACAGTGCACACAACCTCCAGCAGAGTCCTCCCGCTCCCTACCAACTGCCTTGCTTCCACCACTGTGGTGAACACTCACAGGGAGGCAGGCACCACTGCATTCCCTAGCACTTGGATGTAGCTGCAGCACCTCATTTCCCACCCCCAGCACAGTAGACTCCAAACCTTAAGGAGTCAGAGAACAAAGTGGGGGTTCAAGAAAAGTCTCTCAGAGTTAGAGCACATAGTCCAGGAGTTGGGAGCTGAACACTGGCCTGTGAAAATTGTCCAGAAATGAAGCCAGTTAGCTGAATCCACCTTAAACCACAATCAAATGCTCAAGGTCATCAAACAGAATAAAAGGAAAAAAAAAGTCCATCCAAAAGTCAGCAACCTCAAAGATTGAAGGTAGATTAGACCACAAAGATGAGGAAGAATCAGCACCAGAATGCTGAAAATTCAAAAAGCGAGAGTACCTTCTTTCCTTCAAATATCTGCATCACCTCTCTAGCAAGGTCAGTGACCGACAGAGGCTGAGATGACTGAAATGACAGAAGTAGAATTCAAAATATGGACAGAAATGAAGTTCACTGAGCTACAGGAGTACATTGTAACCCAACACAAGGAAGTTAAAAAACATGATAAAGTATTGCAGGAGCTGAGAGACAAAATAACCAGTATAGAGAACGTAACTGACCTGATAGAGCTGAAAATTACACTACAAGAATTTAATAATGCAATCACAAGTATTAATAGCAGAGTAGAACAAGCAGAGGAAAGAATTTCAGAGCTTGAGGACTGCCTTTCTGAAATAAGACAGTCAGACAAGAATAGAGAAAAAAGCATGGTGGCTCGCACCTGTAATCCCAGTACTTTGGGAGGCCAAGGCAGGTGGATGATTTGAAGCCAGGAGTTTGAGATCAGCCTGGCCAACATGGCGAGACCCTATCTATACTAAAAATACAAAAATTAGCCAGGCGTGGTGGTGCATGCCTGTAATCTCAGCTACTTGGAAGGCTGAAGAACGAGAATTGCTGAAACTCAGGAGGCAGACATTGCTGTGAGCTGCGAAGCACCACTGCACTCTAGCCTGGGTGATAGAGTGAGATGCTGTCTCAAAGAAAAAGGAAAAGAAAAGAGAAAAAGAAAAAAAAGAAATTCCAACCAGAATTTTATATCTGGTAAAACTAAGCTTTATAAGTGAAGAAGAAATATCCTTTTCAGACAAACAAATGCTGAAGTAATTTGTTACCACCAGACTTGCCTTACAAGAAGTCCTAAAGGAAACACCAAATATGGAAAGGAAAGACCATCACCAGCCACTACAACACCACACTAAAGTACGCAGACCAGTGACACTATAAAGCAACCACATAAACAAGTCTGCAAAACATCATGATGACAGGATCACATCCAAACATATCAATACTAACCTAAAATCTAAATGGACTAAATGCCACACCTAAAAGACACAGAGTGGCAATCTGGATTTAAAAAAAAAAAGATACATTGATATGGTCTTTTCAAGAGACCCATCTCACATTCAATGACACCCATAGTCTCAAAATAAAGGGATGGAGAAGAATCTATCAAGTAAATAGAAACAGCAAAAACCAGAGGTTGCAATCCTAGTTTCTGACAAAATAGACTTTAAATCAACAATGATCAAAGAAGACAAAGAAGGGCATTATATAATGGTAAAGGGTTCAATTCAACAAGAAAAGATTAACTACTCTAAATATATATGCACACAACACAGGAGTACCAAGATTTATAAAGCAAGTTCTTGGAGACTTTAAAAGAGACTTAAGGCTCCCACACAATAATAGTGGGTGACTTTAACACCCCACAGGCAATATTAGATAGATCATTGAGACAGAAAATTAACAAAGATATTCAAAGCCTGAACTCAGAACTGGATCAAATGGACCTGATATATATATATATATATATATATATATATATATATATATATATATGTATATGTATATGTATATGTATATACAACTCTCCATCCCAAAACAACTGAGCCCCCCAAGTAGCTGGGATTTCATACTTCTCATCACCACATGATATGTACTCTAAAATAGATCACATAATCAGAAGTAAAACACTCCTCAGCAAATGCAAAAACACTGAAATTATAATAAACAGTTTATTGGACCTCATTGCAATCAAATTCAAAATCAAGACTAAGAAATTCATAAAAATAACCCATAGAATTACCTGGAAATTGAATAACATGCTCCTGAGTGACTTTTGGGTAAAATAAAATTAAGGCAGAAATCAAGAAGTTCGGCCAGGTGAGGTGGCTCACGCCTGTAATCCCAGCACTTTGGGAGGCAAAGGCGGGCAGATCACCTGAAGTCAGGAGTTTGAGACCAGTCTGGCCAAAATGGTGAAATCCTGTCTCTACTAAAAATACAAAATTGGCTGGGCATGTTGGCACGTGCCTGTAGTCCCAGCTACCTGGGAGGCTGAGGCAGGAGAATCACTGGAATCTAGGAGGCAGAGGGTGCAGTAAGCCAAGTTCGCATCACTGCACTCCAGTCTGGGTGACAGAGAGAAACTTCAAAAAAAAAAAAAATCAAGAAGTTATTTGAAACTAATGAGAACAAAGATATAACATTCCAGGATCTCTAGGACACACATAAGGCAGTGTTGAGAGTGAAATTTATAGCACTAAATGCCCACATCAAAAAGTTATAAAGATCTCAAATTGACAACCTAACTTCACAACTAAAATAACTAGAGAACCGAGAGTAAACAAACCCAAAAGCTAGCAAAAGACAAGAAATAACCAAGATCAGAGCTGAGCTAAAAGAAATAGACATACACACACAAAAAAAAATTCAAAAGATCAAACAAATCCAAAAGTTGCTTTCTTGAAAAAAAAATAAAATAGATCACTAGCTAGACTAATAAAGGAGAAAAGAGAGAACATTCAAATGAACACAATAAGAAATGACAAGGGAGATATTACCACTGACCCCACAGGAATAAAAACAACCATAAGATAATATTATGAAAACCTCTATGCACGAAAACTAGAAAATCTAGAAGAAATGGATAAATTCCTGTACACACACAACCTCCCAAGACTGAACCAAGAAGAAAGTGAATCCCTGAACAGACAAATGAAGAACTCTGAAATTGAGGCAGTAATAAATAGCCTACCTCCCTCCAAAAGCCCATGACTAGATGGATTCACAGTTGAATTCTATCAGATGTGAAAACAAGAGCTGGTACCACTGCTACTGAAACTATTCCAAAAAACTGTGGAGAAGGAATTCCTCCCAACCTCATTCTATGAGGCCAACATCATCCTGACATCAAAACCTCTTAGAAATACAACAAAAAAAGAAAACCTCAGGTCAATAGCCTTGATGAATATTAATGCAAAAATCCTCCACAAAATACTGGTAAACTTAATCCAGCAGCACATCAGAAAGCTTATCCAACATGATTAAGGAGGTTTTATCCTTGGGTTGCAAGGGTGGTTCAATATAGGCAAACCAATGAATATGATTCATTACATAAACGGAACTGAAGACAAAAACCACAATATTATCTCAATAGATGTGGAAAAGGCCTTTGATAAAATTAAACATTGCTTCATGTTAAAAACTCTCAATAAACTAGGTACTGAAGGAAAACACCTCAAAATAATGAGAGCCACCTATGACAAACCCACAGCCAACATCTTACTGAATGGGCAAAAGCTGGAAGCATTCCCCTTGAAATCGGGCACAAGACAAGGATGCCCTTTCTCACCACTCCAATTCAACATGGTATTAGAAGTTCTGGCCAGGGCAATCAGGCAAGAGAAAGAAATACATGGCATCTAAAGAGGAAGAGAAGAAGTCAAACTATCCCTCTTTGCAGATGACATAATCCTATATCTAGAAAACCTTATAGTCTCAGCCCAGAAACTTCTTAAGCTGATAAGCAATTTCAGCAAAGTCTCAGGATATAAAGTGAATGTGCAGGCAGGGCAAGGTGGCTCAGGCATGTAATCCCAGAATTTTGGGAGGTCAAGACAGAAGGATTGTTTGAGCCTAGGAGTTCAAGACCAGTGTGGGCAACATGGCAAGACTCTGTGTCTACAAAAAAAAATAACAAAAAACGGTGGTGTGCATCTATAGTCCCAGCTACTCGGGAGGCTGAGGTGGTGGGATCCCAGGAGATGGAGGTTGCAGTGAACCAAGATCTCGTCACTGCACTCCAGCCTGGGCCACAGGGTGAGACACTGTCTCAAAAAAAAAATCCATGTGCAAAAATTACTAGCATTTTTATACACCAACAACAGTAAAGCTGAGAGCCAAATTAGGAATGAATTCCCACTCACAATTATGATGAAAAGAATAAAATACCTAGGAATACAGTAGACCAGGGAGGTGAAAGATCTTTACAAGGAGAACTACATACCACTGCTCAAAGAAATCAGAGATGACACAAATGAAGAAACAGTCCATGCTCATGGATAGAATCAATATCATTAAAATGGACATACTGCCAAAAACAATGTATAGATTTAATGGTATACCTATTCAACTACCATGGACATTATTCACAGAGCTAAAAATTTTTTTTTAAATTCATATGGAATCAATAAAGAGGCTGAATAGCCATGGCAATCCTAAGCAAAAGGCAAAGCTGAAGGCATCATGCTACCTGACTTCAAACTATACTACAGGGCTACAGTAACCAAAACAGCACAGTACCAGTACAAAAGCAGACACATAGACAATTGGAACAGAATAAAGTCTCCAGAAATAAGACCACACATCTATAGCTATCTGATCTCTGACAACCTGACCAAAAAAGGCAATGGGGAAAAAATTCCCTCTTCAATAAGTGGTGCTGGCATAACTGGCTAGCCATATGCAGAAAATTACAACGGGACCTCTTCCTTAGACCTTATACAAAAAATTAACTCAAGATGGATTAAAGACTCAAATGTAAAACCCAAAACTATAAAAATCCTAGAAGACAACCTTGGTAATACCATTCAGGACACAGGCACAGGCAAATGTTTCCTGATGAAGACCTCAAAAGCAATCCCAACGAAAGCAAAAATTGACAAATGGGATCTACTTAACTAAAGAGCTGCACAGCAAAAGAAACTATCATGAGTGAACAGACAACCTACACAATGGGAGAAAATTTTTGCAAACTGTGCATCCAACAAAGGTCTAATATCCAGCATCTATAAGGAATTTAAACAAATTTACAAGAAAAAAAAATGAACAACCCCATTAAAAAATGGGCAAAGGATATGAACACTTTTCAAAAGAAGACATACATGTGGTCAAGAATCATATAAAAAAGCTCAACATCACTATAAATAGAGAAATTCAAATCAAAACCACAATGAAATACCATCTCACACCTGTCAGAATGGCTATTACTAAAAAGTTGAAAAATAAGTGCTGGCGAGGTTGTGGAGAAAAAGGTACACGTATACACTTTTGGTGGGAGTGTAAATTAGTTCAACCATTGTGTAAGACAATGTGGCAATTCCTCAAAGACCTAAAAACAGAAATACTATTCAACACAGCAATGCCATTACTGTGTATATACACAAAGGAATATAAGTCACTCTATTATAAAGACAAATGCACACACATGTTCATTGCAACAGTATTCACAATAGCAAAGACATGGAATCAACCTAAATGTCCATCAGTGATAGACTGGATGAAGAAAATGTGGTACATATTAACACCATGGAATACTATGAAGCCATTGAAAGGGATGAGATTATGTTATTATTATTATTTTTTTTTGCAGGAACATGGATGGAGATGGAGGCCATTGTCTTTAGCAAAATAACACAGGTACATAAAACCAAGCACCACATGTTCTCACTTATAAGTGGGAGTTAAGTGATGAGAACACATGGACACATAGAAGAGAACAACAAACACTGGAGCCTATTGGAGGGTGGAGGATGGAGGGTGGGAGGTGGGAGAGGGTCAGGAAAAATAACTAATGGGTACTAGGCTTAATACCTGCATGATAGCCAGCCACGGTGGCTCACACCTGTAATCCCAGGACTTTGGGAGGCTGAGGCGGGTGGATCACCTGAGGTCAGGAGTTCGAGACCAGCCTGGCCAACATAGTGAAACCCCATCTCTAACAAAAATACAAAAAATTAGCTGGGCGTGGTGGTGGGTGCCTGTAATCCCAGCTACTAGGGAGGCTGAGGCAGGAGAATAGCTTGAACCCGGGAGGTGGAGGTTGCAGTGAGCTGAGATCGCACCATTGCACTCCAGCCTGGGCAACAAGAGTGAAACTCCATGTCAAAAAAAAAAAATACCTGGGTGATAAAATAATCTGTACAACATACCCCCATAACAAAAGTTTACCTATGTAACAAACCTGTGCATGTACCTCTGAACTTAAAAGTAAAAAAAAAAAAGAGAAAAAGAAAAAAATATTATTTGCATGACTTGGTGAAAAAGAAAAATATCTGGGAAGCATTTTGTCTTCATGTTTGTAAACAAGTTTAAAACTTGTTACATCTTAATAGAGTCAAGTTGAGACATGCAAGTCCATTTGCTTAATATTAGTGCATTGATCTAGGGACAGATAACTAAAAAATAGTTAATATTTGACTGTACTCATATACTGCCACTGGTTTGCAGTGGGACAATTTGTGAAATGGAAACATAGATGGGTGCCTAAAGCCTGACAATCTTGAATTACCATTCAAAAGTACTTTAAAACCATCCTAGACAAGACTGTCTCATGTAAAAGAAACAAAGATGGGTGAATTCTACTTCTGAAATAATTTTTTTTGTTCTGTCCTCTCCTCTTCCATCTCATGGCCCTTGCATCGATGACAGGTGTCTATTACACAGTGCCAGCAGCCTCCTAAACCAGTTATTCAGCCTACCTCTATGACCTCCCAGCCCTCACCTCCTTTGTGCATCCCCCCAACTCAGTGCCAACAAAGAAACCTTTCTATAACGCAGATGCTTATGTCAGGCCTCTGCCTAAAATTACTTATTGACAGAGGCCTAATACCCATAGATGAAGTTATAAAATACTTAGAGTGATATGCAAAATCACTTAGAGTGACAGAGAAGTCCCTAACTTCTAGTTTTCTCTCATACCACTTTTTCTCATGAATCCTATACTGAACTGTTAGCTGTTGCCTAACACCATTATTTTTTTTATATCTCTGCACCTTCATGTACATTATTCTGCCTGTCTAGAATGATCTTCCTTTCATTCCCTAGTTACCAGCTACCCTTGTTTTGTGGCTTAATCATTACCTTTTATATGAAAGTATACCCAGATGCTGCTTTTATGTAAACAGAAATACAGATGCGATGTCTGTGCTCTCTGAGCTGTCTATATATTGATTTTATCACATTGCATTTCAATTGTCTATGTGTTTGTCTCCTATCAGGTTTTGAGAGTTTTGAAGACAATGACCATGTCTGATTCATCTTGAGAACCCCAGTTCACAGCAACTCAGTGTAGGTGCACAGTCAATAATTTAAAATACAATTCAGAATACTGATATGATGCAAGTAAACAGAAAACTAACATGGAACAATGAAACGATGATGAACATAAGCTCAAGGCAGAGTCTGTTTTCCCTTTCTTATACTCCTATAAAAGGAGAAGGATTCCAATTTTGATAACATGACTGTAATTAGTTAACAAAAGGATACAGGGAACAGTGTAGCCTATTACAATAGAAAAATGCATGCCCTAAAATTAAGGCATCTCAAAGTACATGTCTTTTTATTAGATAGTTTGTTGGTTTACAATTTAAACTTTGGTGGTTTTAAAATGTAAACCACTAGAAAAATCTTCTTGTGGTTTTTAAAAGTGAAGAAAAATAATTTGTAAAATGGTTAAGAGTTAAATTAGACAAGAATGACCCAGTTGCTTCCACCATTTTATAACATTCACTGTCTATGTACATGCTTTTTAATGTTTTTTTTTCTCCCACATTAATCAAATGCTAGGATATAGGGCATATCGAGGCCATAGCCTACCTAAGCACTAAATGCCATTCGCACTTGTTTTATTTTATTTCATTTTTGAGACGGAGTCTCCTTCTGTCGCCCAGGCTGGGATGCCGTAACAGAATCTCGGCTCACTGCGACCTCCACCTCCAGGGCTCAAGAGATTCTCCTGCTTCAGACTCCCTAGTAGCTGAGATTACAGGCATGTGCCATTCCCAGCTAATTTGCTATTCACCTTTTGATTCCGGAGAATCAAAGGTGTCCTGTTGAGCAGTCTTGTGTGAATGAGAATCAGGTCTTGAATAAATTGCTCACAAAATCCATGCCGAACTAATCTCCCAATGGCTCCCAGTGATCACAAGGTCTTTTACACAAATCTCTGCAATGCTTGACTGACCTCATTGGCCTCCTGCACCTCAGTAAATGGATCCATAGGGGCATTTGCCTTGTATTTAAGGAAAGAAAGAATCTTTCTGAATTTGGACTAAATGCCATAAAATCTCTGTCATGTACAAATGCAATAATTATTGCAGCTGGGCCTATGGGCCACTTCTTATTAAGAAAAAAATCATTTATTTGCAAGAGTTCTAAAAACTCAAAGCATTTAGATCGTTCGTACTGCCACATTTCTATTATTAATCATCCACTATAAAACCAGCTGAAAGAAACATGTCCAGTGTTTTCTTTTCAGTTATCTAAAGTAATGATAATATTTGTACTAATTCTAGACATTGAGATACAGTAATTTTATACATTCTAAGTTTTTAACAACACATTTCAAAGGTGTATATGAGAAGCAAATATATTGGAAATTAAGGAAACAGTAGTTAATCACATCTCAATCATTTTACCACTATTTCTTTTAAATAAATACGTATATAATGAAGTTAGTACAGGTTACTATTTCAGAAAAAAAGAAGAAATATAAGATATTTCTTTGGATGTTATTTCTAACTTTATCTTATGATTCTCTTGAGTTTAACGTTTTAAATTATTATGCATTTATATATTTCCTGATCTATTCAGTTTCTATATACTTGCTGCCTTAAAAACCTGAGCTAGAAGTGACTTTTAATATTAACTTTATTCTATTAGTGTTTTTATTATCAATTTTCATGATCTGCATTCAAAGGAGAGAAGAAAAAGGGAGGCTGTGTGTAAATGACAAAATATGAATTCTTAAGTTTGAGTCATCCTTTATGACATTAACAATGAAATGAAGAAGATGTCATTAAACAATGGGCTAGAAGTGAAAAGTTTAAGAGTTTTCTTTTCCACTTCGCCTCCAACCGATTTTGTGCCTTAATAGCCACATCAGCAAAAATGGCATTATTGGCTTCTCATTTCCCTGGATAGTGGTAAAATTTAAATTGCTGATGGCTAGCCTGTGAGATTCATGATTTGTACCAGGTAAAAGGAAAAGGGCCAAGGACCGTATGGATAAGGTAAGAATGTCTAGTTTTAAATCAAAATACATTTGAAATAATCAGAGAAAAGAGTAAGAAAACAAGATATTAAAAAGCAGAAAGTATTCATGAATTAAACCTCCAATTATGTGCTGGAGTGAATACTATCATTTTAGTGTACATGTCTACTTTTTTAAAAAAGATCTCCTCTCTAGTCTCTACTGTTGCCTGAGGATATTCAATGTTTGGAAAGCTATAGTTGATATTGTGGCACAGGACTATGAATGGCTTGCTATATAATCAGGGAAGAAGTCTATAAGATTATAAAGATTTGCGCTGATCTATCTTGAAACATATATATTTATATATGTAATGTTCCTTCAATAACTACAAGGCTCCAATTACACACAGAGGTGAGTTTTGACAACACAAATATGATGAAAGATAAAATATTTTGAGAATAAAATTACTAGGGTCTGATATCTATATATAGGGTGATAGACAATCATTTTTTACTGTCTTTAAAATAAATTATATTCTGACAGAAGTAAAATATTCTTCTTTCTAGAAACAGGTGATTTTCAGTTCTAGTATTTAGATTATTTGTCTCTACTGTATCTAAAAATCTTCAGGTAGTGTTTTTTTTTCAGAGATCTATTCAGACTTTAATGCCCACAGGGAGAAAAAGCACACTGCTTTGGGCTTCTTTCCTATTTCTTGTTTTTCATTAAGTATGAGTTGTAAGTGAGCAAGAAACCCTATTATATCTGAGTCAGTGTCAGCGATCACATAATTATTTGCCTGATTACTTTTCAATTTTATGTTTTCAAGCATTTGCTTCCTCTGAGGTCTTCACTTTGCTTTGTCTAAGATTTGGAAATGAAAAAAAAAACATGTTTTCCTATTTCATAAATTAAAAAATTTCCTATGTGTAGATCATAAATTGGAAAGAAATCCAAGTTACCACTTTATCCTGTGTTCTTTTTTTTTTTTTTTTTTTTTGAGACGGAGTCTCGCTCTGTCGCCCAGGCTGGAGTGCAGTGGCACGATCTCGGCTCACTGCAAGCTCCGCCTCCCGGGTTCACGCCATTCTCCTGCCTCAGCCTCCCGAGTAGCTGGGACTACAGGTGCCCGCCACCACGCCCGGCTAATTTTTTGTATTTTTAGTAGAGATGGGGTTTCACCGTGTTAGCCAGGATGGTCTCGATCTCCTGACCTCGTGATCCGCCCGCCTCGGCCTCCCAAAGTGCTGGGATTACAGGCGTGAGCCTATCCTGTGTTCTAATGATAATACTCTTATCTTTATACTAAATTTGACCTCTAAGAAAGAGACTAAAAAAGAATACTGTGGGCAGCCTTTGTGATCTAAATCATTCCAAATTACTTAGTTATAACAAAATCATATATCAGGCTTTACTTTAGTAAATGAAATATTCCCATTATTAGGCAACATCATAGCTATAGGCTTTCAAAAAATTAGAGTGAAATTTCTGCTGTAATTAGCATTTTATAAAATTAGAAATACAGTTCTTCAGTTGCTAAAATGATCTTCAACGTTCTTGTTCTGTTAAAATCTTTCTCTCATAAATTTCTAGAGAGCATATATGAGAAAAGAAAAGAATATGGCAAAATAATATCTGGATTGCATTAAAGTGAATTATAGTGGATTTAATTTCATTGTAGCTCTCTTTCCAATCCAGTCATACATTACATGACCTAACATAAATTTTGTGGTTTTAAAAGTTGTTAGCTTACAAGATTCACAGCAAACACAGGTGGAAATTTCTGTTCTGGAAAAATGATAAATTCACAAAGTAGATTAGTTACAGCAAAATTTAGTTTTTAAAATAAATTACCAAATGCCATTTCTATCTCTGATAGTCAGAATGTGTCTGTGATTATACCACTTAACTAATTGTTTCATAGTAAAATAGATTTCATTTGAAGGTTGTGGTAAGATACAATTATGGAATAATTGGCAATTATGTGATGCTTTAAGGCACCTGTGAACAAAAAAGAATAAATGAGATTAGACATTCAAATCTTTTCAAGCAGTGGATAATTTTCCCATTATCCAGGGTTTCTTTTTAAAGACGTCTCTACTCAATAACCCATTTTTCTAAATGTTTATAGCCACAGATAGAACAAAGAAAAATCATTTGTATCTTATTTATATAAGAATTTTGTCCGCAAAGATATTTATGAGAAAATGAGGTAAATAAGAGTAGTCAACATACACCAACACACTGTATGATATATAGTTAAGATTCCATATTACAAAACACATTGTTTACAGTACTATGTTGAAGTTCCCAGGTCAACATAAAATAACATCTCAACCAACATAACCATGTGTTTATGGGGCAAAATACCAATGAACAAAACTTTATGAAATCTACTGAGCTATTCAGTACATTTAAGGTACACCAAAAGAATCATTTGTTCCAACATTGTTAAGTATCTGGTAGTGGAAGCATTTAACGAGAAAGTTAATGAAGGGGACCTACAATGTCTGATAAGTCATTTATGAAGAGAAAATGCGTTAACACCTGGGTGATAGCAACATAGGAGCTGTGCAGAATTTAAATCAACACACGTGACAGCACATCTGAAAAAGGAAATACAGTATCATAAAATTCCATGTGTCAGAAAGCATGTAGCTCAGACTTAGGCCTGTCTATGCTAAGACAAGCAAAATTCCAACATAAGGGTTTACTGTTAAGGCAAGGTTAACACAACACAAACCATGATACATAGACATTATTTATGGTCTACAGTGAAGAGGACACGATGGAGTCTAAATGATGAGGGCAAACAAATCAAAATTATTAAAGAGACCGTGTGCTTATTTTTAACCTAAGGTTATTCTTAAATTATATGGTGATCATGTGGAGGGCAAAGGACAGCGAAACAATAGGTGTTTTCATTCTGTGCCCTTCTCCAAAGTTCTATAACCTGGTAGAAATAGAAACAAGGATTGCTACTTCAGACCCTCACTTTCCCCAAGTTCTCTATCATAATATATGAACCCCGAAATGTGTAATTGTTGTTATTTTTAAGACTGCATGTTTCTTCTGTAGGGATTTTTTATTTATAGCAAACTAAGATTTTTTATTTCTATGTTAAGAATTTCCTTGTAAGATTTGTATTTGGTAACAATGAAAGATTCTGCCTTGTCTATAGAAAAGATTTCCATAATATTCTACAACTGATTTTAAAGATGGAACAGCCCAGTAAACAATGGGCAATATATTTGTTTACCTGGCATTCAATAAGACATGAATATCCTTACATGAATAAATCACTCCAAGTATTCTTTACAAGAAATCTATCACCAAATATGGGCCCCTCTCAATATATTCTAGTGGTATCTTGAAAAAATATTAACAACATTGAAGTTTGAAGTTATGCTCCTGGAAAACACAGATAAATTCCACCTCCACACCTCCCGACCACCATCAAATTTTCGTATTCTAGGAAATGACTTACCATAAAGAAATGCCCTTCTCCATGTGACTTGGATAAGACTAGCAGATGACTCCCTTGGCTACCTATGACAAGGGCAGAAGCATCCTCCAAATTCCCATTCTGTGTGTCATAAATGATGAGCCGAACTGTTCCTTCAAACTGATCAATTTGTACAAATTACCCACTAACTTGACTTGATCAAATTTTAGTCAGGCTTCCTCCCTCCTCTGAGAAATCTGAAGTTTGGCCAACCTTCGGTGCAAGCCAGCATCAAAGTGTGAACAGCCAGCCCGTCTTTAACAGTCCTTCTGAAAAATAGGCTGAGTATAAGAAAAAACATTGCCTGATAACCTGTCTATTCAAGTTACCTGTTTGTTCTACTCCCTTACACCGAGTTTCCTCTAGCCTTGTTTACTCCTTATTTTTAAAAAGACCTCCATAGGGGGAGGGGGGAGGGATAGCATTAGGAGATATACCTAATACTAAATGACGAGTTAATGGGTGCAGCACACCAGCATGGCACACATATACCTATGTAACTAACTGGCACATTGTACACACGTACCCTAAAACTTAAAGTATAATAATAAAAAAAAGACCTTTACGTTTGACCTTATAGAGGCTCAAGGTTCGCAAATCTTTTACCCAATTGCAATGGTCCTACCCCCCTTATGCAGCAGTCTTTTCCAATAAAGTCTCTTCTTAACCAAATATGGATTTGTTTTTTATTTGGCAATAGTTAGACATCTCACTGAGTACCCTCCCACCCTCAGGGATTACTATTACAGACATCTGCTGAAAAGCAGAACATTCAGTCAACCTTGTGATATTCTGTGTTCCATCATTCTGGCAAGCTACAGTATTTCTCCTTCAACAGTCTATCAAAAAATAAAATGGTTCTTCTGTCAGGTTCTTGTAAAGGGAAACAGCCTATAATTAAATACTTGGCTCAGCTCACATATGTATGGCAGAAGAATTTCCAATAATGGTAAGATTGTTGCTGGTAAAGAAACTAAATGATACCACACAAAAAGAGGAGAGAAATATTCAGGCATCCAGATGAGAAATGTATACTTGGTTGTATGCTTGTTGTTCATGTTTTTTTTTCTATGTAATAAAAATTCCAATGTTTCTGCTTTAAAACAGTTTAATTATCTTACAAAGAAATATTCCTATGAAGAAATGGACTGCCTTAACAAAAATATTGTGATGACTGGAATGATTTAATTTTTGCTACTCTAAGTAATTCATACATGGAAAAAATAACAATTGCTTATAACTATTAATTACTTTATTGTCACAGTGTTCATCAAGCTTACAAAATCGTTTTACTATTCCCGGAATACTGCTCAGTGATTTCTCCAGAACTGGTGATTAAAGCATTAGGCCAGAATTGTGGAAATGAAACCTACAGTGGAAAAACAGTAGTTTACATTTTTTTGTTTTCATCTTCAGGGTATATTACTGCACTTCAGACAGAAAAAAATAGCTGTGGCCCATAACCAATAAATGAAGAGAAACCATTGTAGAGTTAAGGGAAATCTATCAGTTGTCCTAGAAGAAACTACCCAACAACTCCACATTTTTCTTGTTTGACATAGCTAACAAGGTAAGTATCT